>NC_000001.11:52129592-52281107 GCF_000001405.40 Homo sapiens
AACAATTTAAATGCCTAATTTTAAGAGAATGGTTGAATAAATTACAGCAGCAGTTCTCAAACATTTTGGTCTCAGGTCCCCTATACACTCATAAATTATAAGGGACCCAAAAGATCTTTCGTTTCTATAGATTACATATATGGATAGGTATCATTTTAGAAATTAAAACTAAGACATTTTAAACATTTATTTAAAATAACAATAGTTGGCCGGGCATGGTGGCTCATGCCCCTAATCCCAGCACTTTGGGAGGCCAAGGTGGGCAGATCACTTGAGGTCAGGAGTTCAAGATCAGCCTGGCCAAAATAGTGAAACCCCATCTCTAGTAAAATCACAAAAATTAGCCGGGCGTGGTAGCACGCATCTGTACTCCCAGCTACTTGGGAAGCTGAGGCAGGACAATCTCTTGAACCCAGGAAGCAGAGGTTGCAGCGAGCCGAGATTGCACCACTGGACTCCAGCCTGGGCGACAGAGCCAGACTTCGTCTCAAAAAAAAAAGTATCGATGGAACATATCTCAAAATAATAAGAGCTATTTATGACAAACCCACAGCCAACATCATACTGAATGGGCAAAAGCTGGAAGCATTCCCTTTGAAAACTGGCACAAGACAAGGATGCCCTCTCTCACCACTCCTATTCAACATAGTATTGGAAGTTCTGCCCAGGGCAATCAGGCAAGAGAAAGAAATAAAGGGCATTCACATAGGAAGAGAGGAAGTCAAATCCTCTCTGTTTGCAGATGACATGATTGTATATTTAGAAAACCCCATCGTGTCAGCCCAAAATCTCCTTAAGCTGACAAGCAACTTCAGCAAAGTCTCAGGATACAAAATCAATATGTGAAAATCACAAGCATTCCTATACACCAATAACAGACAGAGATCCAAATCATGAGTGAACTCCCATTCACAATTGCTACAAAGAGAACAAAATACCTAGGAATACAACTTACAAGGAATGTGAAGGACCTCTTCAAGGAGAACTACAAACCACTGCTCAAGGAAATAAGACAGGACACAAATGGAAAAACATTCCAGGCTCATGGATAGGAAGAATCAATATCATGAAAATGGCCATACTGCCCAAAGTAATTTATAGATTCAGTGCTATCCCCATCAAGCTACCACTGACTTTCTTCACAGAATTAGAAAAAAACGACTTGAAATTTCATATGGAACCAAAAAAGAGCCTGTATAGCCAAGACAATCCTAAGCAAAAAGAACAAAGCTGGAGGCATGACGCTACCTGACGTCAAACTATACTACAAGGCTACAGTAACTAAAACTGCAAAGTATTGGTACCAAAACAGATACATAGACCAATGGAACAGAACAGAGGCCTCAGAAATAACGCCACACATCTACAACCATCTGATCTTTGACAAACCTGATAAAAACAAGCAATGGGGAAAGGATTCCCTATTTAATAAATGGTGTTGGAAAAACTTGCTAGCCATATGCAGAAAACTGAAACTGGACCCCTTCCTTACACCTTATACAAAAATTAACTCGAGATGGATTAAAGGCTTAAACGTAAGATCTAAAACATAAAAATCCTAGAAGAAAACCTAGGCAATACCATTCAAGACATAGGCATAGGCAAAGACTTCATGACTAAAACACCAAAAGGAAAGGCAACAAAAGCCAGAATTGACAAATGGGATCTAATTAAACTAAAGAGCTTCTGCATAGCAAAAGAAACTATCATCAGAGTGAACAGGAAATCTACAGAATGGGAGAAAATTTTTGCAATTATCCATCTGACAAAGGGCTAATATCCAGAATCTACAAGGAACTTGAACAAATTTACAAACAACCCCATCAAAAAGTGGGTGAAGGATATGAACAGACACTTCTCAAAATAAGACATTTATGTGGACAACAAACATATGAAAAAAAGCTCATCATCACTACTCATTAAAGAGATGCAAATCAAAACCACAATGAGATACCATCCCATGCCACTTAGAATGGTGATTATTAAAAAGTCAGGAAACAACAGATGCTGGAGAGGATGTGGAGAAACAGGAACACTTTTACACTGTTGCTGGGAGTGTAAATTAGTTCAACCATTGTGGAAGAAAGTGTGGTGATTCCTCAAGGATCTAGAACCAGAAATACCATTTGACACAGCAATCCCATTACTGGGTAATAGGATTTAAATCATTCTAATGAACTCCTGGCCTCAAGCAATCCTCCTGCCTCAGCCTGCCATAGTGCTGGGATTACAGGTGTGAGCCACTATGTCTGACCACAGGTGGTAATTTATTAAAGGTGAGTTGCAATGTGGACTCTGCAACCAAATCAGTGAACTTTTCATACTGTTACATTAAATCCATTGGTCTATATTACATTTTAAATAGATAGTTTATCTATATGTACTTCTTTTTTTTTTTTTTTCTTTTTTTTCAGACAGTCTCACTCAGTCGCCCAGGCTGGAGTCCAGTGGTGCAATCTCGGCTCACCACAACCTCTGCCTCCTGGGTTCAAGCGATTCTCCTGCCTCAGCCTCCCAAGTAGCTGGGATTACAGGCGCCCACCACCACGCCCAGCTAATTTTAATATTTTTTGTAGAGACGGGGATTCGCCATGTTGGCCAGGCTAGTCTCAAACTTCTGACCTCAGGTGATCCACCCACCTCAGCCTCCAAAGTGTTGGGATTACAGGCGTGAGCCACTGGGCCTGGCCTATATGTACTTTTGTAACATCATGCATTCATTATTTGAAACAATACTGGTTCATTGCCAGGTGTGGTGGCTCACGCCTGTAATCCCAGCACTTTGGGAAGCCAAGGCAGGCAGATCACCTGAGGTCAGGAGTTCGAGACCAGCCTGGCCAACATGGTGAAACCCTGCCTCTACTAAAAATACAAAAATTAGCCGGGTGTGGTGGCATGTGCCTGTAATCCCAGCTACTTGGGAGGCTGAGGCAGGAGAATCACTTGAACCTGGGAGGGAGAGGTTGCAGTGAGCTGAGATCTGTGCCACTGCACTCCAGCCTGGGCGACAGAGCAAGACTCCGTCTCAAGAAAAAAAAAAAAAGAAAAAATACTGGTTCACTAAGTTATGCAGATCTTCCACATGTTGACACATTTCATTATACAATATTTAAAAAAAACACCCCGCAACAGTTCCAACAGTTAATATCTCCGCCCATCTCTTCAGAAAAGTTTAGAAAGCTCTCAAGTTCATAGCGGTGAATACGAGTTTTTCAAAATTCTAATTTATTTATTTATTTATTTTTAAGATAGAGTCTCACTTTGTTGCCCAGGCTGGAGTGCAGTGGTGCAATCTCGGCTCACTGCAACCTCTGCCTCCCTGCAACCTCCGCCTCCCGGATTCAAATGATTCTCTTGCCTCAGCCTCCACAGTAGCTGGGACTACAGGCGCCCACCACCACTCCCGGCTAATTTTCGTATTTTCAGTAGAGACGGGGTTTTGCCATGTTGGTCAGGCTGGTCTTGGACTCCTGACATCAGCTGATCCACCCACCTTGGCTTCCCAAAGTGCTGGGATTACAGGCTTGTGTCACTGCACCTGGCCTCAAAATTCTAATATTCATTTGAAAACTTGAATTTTATCATTGGCAACAAACACTGTTAGTTGTTTTCCTGGAAGTGACAGTCTTACTTTGTCCATTTTCTAGAAAATGTCTGCCAAATTTCCAACTCTGGATAACCATAGCTTGTCTGTTGTTCTTTAAGGTAAAAATGATGTTCAAATAAAAACTGGGGTGTGTGTGTGTGTGTGTGTGTGTGTGTGTGTGTATTTTCTAGCTCTGCTCAGTGAAAGCACCTAGAAGCAATGACATTATAGTAGCAATGAGCACAACTAGCACATAGGTCTTTATTTCTAAAGACCATTCTCTACTAAATGGAACTTGGGCTTTTAGGGAAATGGGTGATTCCAGGGATGGAGCTGGGAAAGTACAAGGTGTGCCTGGGACACAATGCAGAAAGTAAGGGAAATCTTAAAAAATGATGAAGAAATGTTAAAAGAACACAGAAACCAGCTGAATCTGAAACAATTGGTGCATCTATTTGTAATAATAATCATTACATAATTCATAGAATAAAAATCAATGAGTTTATCTGATATAAACAAAGTAATAAATGAATAAATGAAGGAGAATAAAAAAGCTCTCCCATACAGCAGAAAGACAAATTTAAAATATATAAGGAACGATAATGATGGAATTAGAAAATTATCATTCGGCAACCATTATAGTAATAATTGTCTCAAGCAAGAATCACCAATGAATGTTAAAAGTGGGTAGTCTCAAATTATCTCCCACAAGATATTTATTAATTACAAAGATAAAAATTGTTACTTTACAGTGGAGAAATCTGGCCGATACCATTTTTTTTCCTTTTTCTTTTTTTGAGACAGATTCTCGCTCTGTCGCCCAGGCTGGAGTGCAGTGGTGCAATCTCAGCTCACTGCAAGTTCTACCTCCCGGGTTCACGCCATTCTCCTGCCTCAGCCTCCCGAGTAGGTGGGACTACAGGCGTCCGCCACCATGCCTGGCTAATTTTTTTGTATTTTTAGTAGAGACGGGGTTTCACCGTGTTAGCCAGGATGGTCTCGATTTCCTGACCTTGTGATCCACCCACCTCAGCCTCCCAAAGTGCTAGGATTACAGGCGTGAGCCACCGCGCCCAGCTGCCTATACCTTCTTAAGTGAACAAAGTCACTCTCATCAGTGGTGAGACATACAAGTATCACATGACTCTGGATAAGACACACTGAGAGGGACACAACTTCATTTGGGTAGTATTACTGCCCAAAATGCAAAACCTGAATTTAATAATGAAGAAAAAACAAAAAAACTCAAATTGAGGGATATTTTACAAAATAAATGGCCTGTATTCTTCAAAAATGTAAAGACTGTAAAAGAAAAAATACTGAGAAACAGTTCCAGATTAAAGAAAATAAAAGAAACTTGAAATTAATTATAATGTGTGATCCTGCACTGGATCCTGGACCAGAACCAAAAACTTATTTTCTTTTTCTATAAAGAATATTAGGCGAGGCATGGTGGCTCACGCCTGTATTTCCAGCACTTTGGGAGGCCGAGGAGGGTGGATCTCCTGAGGTCACGAGTTCGAGACTGGCCTGGCCAACATGGTGAAAACCCGTCTCTACTAAAAATACAAAAATTAGCCGGGTGTGGTGGCACATGCCTGTAGTCCCAGCTACTTGGGAGGCCGAGGCAGGAGGTGGAGTCTCACTCTGTTGCCCTGGCTGGAGTCCAGTGGTGTGATCTCAGCTCACTGCAACCTCTGCCTCTGAGGTTCAAACAATTCTTGTGCCTCAGCTGCCCGAGTAGCTGGGACTACAGGTGTGAGCCACCAGGCCCAGCTAATTTTTGTATTTTTAGTAGAAATGGGGTTTCACCATGTTGGCCAGGCTGGTCTTGAACTCCGGACCTCAGGTGATCTGCCCACCTTGGCCTCTCAAAGTGGTGAGATTATGGGCATGAGCCACTGTGCCTGGCCCCAAAAAAAAAAAAAAAAAGCAGGAGAATTTTTTTTTTTTTTTTTTGGAGACAGAGTTTCGCTCTTGTTGCCCAGACTGGAGTGCAATGGCACAACCTTGGCTCACCGTAACCTCTGCTTCCCGGGTTCAAGTGATTCTCCTGCCTCAGCCTCCCACGTAGCTGGGATTACAGGCATGTGCCACCACACCTGACTAATTTTGTATTTTTAGTAGAGATGGGGTTTCACCATGTTGGTCAGGCTGGTCTCAAACTCCTGACCTCAGGTGATCCACCCGCCTCAGCCTCTCAAAGTTCTGGGATTACCGGTGTGAGCCACTGTGCCTGGCCAAAAAAAATTTTTTTGTAGAGATAGGGGTCTTGCTATATTGCCCAGGCTGGTCTCACACTTGTGAGCTAAAGTGATCCTCCCACCTTGGCCTCCCAAAGTGCTGGGATTACAGGTGTGAGCCATCATGCCCATCCAAGGTCACAGATTAGATCACAGTACTGTATCAATGTTAAGTTTTTAATTTTGATAATTATAATGTGATATATGTACTCTGTCTTTGTTTTGATTAAATACACAGAAAAATATTTAGGGATAGATTAGAAGATTACGATGGGCCAGGCACGGTGGCTCAGGCCTATAATCTCAGTACTTTGGGAGGCTGAGGCAGGAGGATTGCTTGAGGCCGGGAGTTTGGTACTAGCCCAAGCAACACAGTGAGACCTCACCTCTACCAAAAAATAAATAAATTAGCCAGGTATGGTGGTGCACACCTGCAGTCCCAGCTACTCAGGAGGCTGAGGCAAGAGGATTCTTTGAGCCCAGGAGTTCAAGGCTGCAGTGAGTTGTGACTGCACCACTGCACTCCAGCCTGGGCAACAGAGCAAGAGTGTCTCTTAAAAATAATAATAATAGGCCGGGCACGGTGGCTCACGCCTGTAATCCCAGCACTTTGGGAGGCTGAGGCAGGTGGACCACCAGGTCAGAAGATCGAGACCATCCTAGTTAACATGGTGAAACCCCGTCTCTACTAAAAATACAAAAAATTAGCCGGGTGTGGTGGCGGGCACCTATAGTCCCAGCTACTTGGGAGGCTGAGGCAGGAGAATGGCACGAACTCGGGAGGCGGAGCTTGCAGTGAGCCAAGATCGGCCACTGCACTCCAGCCTGGGCGACAGAGCAACACTCCATCTCAAAAAAAAAAAAATAAATAATAATAATAATTAGGCTGGGCACAGTGGCTCATGCCTGTAATCCCAGCACTTTGGGAGGCCAAGGCAGGCAGATCACGAGGTCAAGAGATCGAGACCATCCTGGCCAACATGGTGAAACCCCTTCTCTAATAAAAATACAAAAATTAGCTGGGCATGGTGGTGTGTGCCTGTAGTCCCAGCTACTTGGGAGGCTGAGGCAGAATCACTTGAACCCAGGGGGCAGAGGTTGCAGTGAGCCGAGATCGCACTACTGCACTCTAGCCTGGGCAGCTGAGACTCCGTCTCAAAAAAAAAAAAATTACAGTAGCCTCTTTATACATCTGATATGGTTTGGCTGTGTCCCCACTGAAATCTTGTCTTGAATTGTAATAATCCTGTGTCGGGCCCAGGCACGGTGGCTCACACCTGTAATCCCAGCACTTTGGGAGGTCGAGGTGGGTGGATCACCAGGTCAGGAGTTCAAGACAAGCCTGGCCAAGATGGTGAAACCCCATCTCTACTAAAAATACAAAAATTAGCCGGGCATGGTGGCAGGCGCCTGTAATCCCAGGTACTCGGAAGGCTGAGGCAGGAGAATCGCTTGAACCCGGGAGGCGGAGGTTGCAGTGAGCCAAGATCGTACCACTGCACTCTAGCCTGGGCAACAGAGTGAGACTCCGTCTCAAAAAAAAAAAAAAATCCCATGTCAAGGGTGGGACCAGGTGGAGATAATTGAATCACGGGGGCAGTTGACCCCATACTGTTCTCATGATAGTGAGTTCTCATGAGATCTGATGATTTTATAAGGGACTTTCCCCTTTGCTTGGCACTCATTCTCTCTCCTGCTGCCCTGTGAAGAGGTGCCTTCTGCCATGATTGTAAGTTTCCTGAGGCCTCCCCAGCCATGCAGAACTGTGAGTCAATTAAACCTCTTCATTATAAATTACCCAGTCTCAGAAATTTCTTCATAACAGCATGAGAACAGACTAATACAATATCTATATCTCTCTATAGAGATAGAAAAAACATAGAGCAAGAGTGAGAGACAGAGAATGATGAAGCAAATGTGGTTAGATATGGGTGAAAAGTATGTGGGATTTTGGGGTACTATTTTTGCAACTTTTCTTTAAATCTGGTATTATTCCAAAATAAAAAAATCGAAAAATTCCACAAACATATAACATTTTGAACTATTTCCTTCTAAGTATCATATTTATATATTTTGTAAGTATATAAAGCACATAATTGGGATAATAGTCTTTTGTACTTAACACTGTTTTTTATTAACTTGGTATTGAATCATAAGCAGTTTTCAATGTCATTTAAAATTATTTAAAAACAATTGTTAATGGATGCATAATAGTTCTTTGTGTAGAGGTTTTTTTTTGTTTTTTTTTGATAGAGTTTCCTTCTTGTTGCCTAGGCTGGAGTGCAGTGGCATGATCTCGGCTCACTGCAACCTCTGCCTCCCAGGTTCAAGCAATTCTCCTGCCTCAGCCTCCTGAGTAGCTGGGATTACAGGCATGCACCACCATGCCCGGCCAATTTTTGTATTTTTAGTAGAGATGGGGTTTTGCCATGTTGGCCAGGCTGGTCTCAAACTCCTGATCTCAGATGATCCACTCGCTTCGGCCTCCCAAAGTGCTGGGATTACAGGCTTGGGCCATAGTGCCTGGCATGTGGAGGTATTTTAATTTATTTATTTAGGGTTTTCCTCACATTATGTCATAAACTTACAGTAAAACCTACAATTAACATCTTTTTGCATCTATCTTTGTCCATATATTTATATTTGATTAGTTACATATCCTCATCTCCTAGAATGAGAACTGCTTTGCTAATTTTTTAAAAATAATTTTATTTTATTTTTAGAGGCAGGGTCTCACTCTGTCTCTGAGGCTGGAGTGCAGTGGGGCAATCATAGATTACTGTAACCTCAAATTCCTGGGCTCAAGCGATCCTCCTGCTTCAGCCTCCCAAGTAGCCAGGACTACAGGCTCTTGCCACCATGCCTGGTAATTTTTTTTTTCTTTTTGAGACGGAGTTTCGCTCTGTCGCCCAGTCTGGAGTGCAGTGGCACAGTCTCAGCTCACTGCAACCTCCGCCTCCTGGGTTCAAGTGATTCTCCTGCCTCAGCCTCCTGAGTAGCTGGGATCACGGACACACACCACCATGCCTGGCTAATTTTTGTATTTTTAGTAGAGACAGGGTTTCACCATGTTGGCCAGGATGGTCTTGATCTCCTGACCTCGTGGGCTGCCCACCTCGGCCTCCCAAAGTGCTAGGATTACAGGTGTGAGCCACCGTGCCCGGCCGGGAGTCTTATTTTTTGTGGGCCCTGAAATTTAAAGGAAAAGTTCTAAAAAGTCACTGAGCATGTGGGATGCAGGCTATCTACAGTCTGATGAGGGAAGTTCAGTTCAGCTTAACATCCTCTGGGGTGTACTTTGTGCTGAGACTGGTTCTAGGGACACAGATATGAATCAAACACTGAACCTGTCAAACAGGGGCTTACAATTTGGTAGGGGAGACATATAAGTAAATAGATACTGACTGTAGAGTGATGAGTAGTTACAAATTGGGAAGCACAAGGATTAATAGGAGCATGGAAGGGGTTTTGTGTCTTCCTTTAAACAAACTTTTATACAGTATTTACTTGTTTTTTTTTTTTTTGAAACTGAGTCTTGCTCTGTTGCCCAGGCTGGAGTGTAATGGTGCGATCTTGGCTCACTGCAACCTCTGCCTCTGGCGTTGAAGCGATTCTCCTGCCCCAGCCTCCCAAGAAGCTGGGATTACAGGCACTCGCCATCATGCCTGGCTAATTTTTGTATTTTTGTAGAGACAGGGTTTCACCACGTTGGCCAGACTGATCTTGAACTCCTGACCTCAGGTGATCCACATGCCTCATCCTCCCAAAGTGCTGGGATTACAGGCATGAGCCACTGCACCCGGCCAGTATTTACTCTTATATCCAAATAGAATATGCATTCATCAATTCTTCCTTTTTTTCATTCAGTTCACTTATAATTTATTGAGCATATATCCTAGACCAAAGTGAGTGGCAGTGGAGTTGGACAGGAGAAGAGAAATTTAAAAAGCAAAAAAGTAAAATTTATCAGGCTTTGTAACTACTTGCCCAGGAGAAAGACACAAGAGTTAAGAATGAATCCAAGATTTTTGGCTTGGGCATCTGGGTGGATGATGGTGCCATTCGCCAAGTCAGGAAACGGGTATCTTTTTGGCCTGAATTTTAAAAACTAATTTTAAAGAGCAAAGAATATTTTGCTTGGGGTGCTAGTGCTTAAACTCAGTTGAAAAAAGATTCTTAGAATATTGGCTTTCTACAGGATGTAGACAGTATAAAAATGAAAGTGGGGAGGTCTACCAGGTTGGGAATAGACATTTTACGGTTGCTAGCTAATAGGGGAAATCAATGAAAAATTGAGATGAGGGTAGCCAAATCAATTGACAGAAGCCCAAGGGAGATTAAAATGAACAAGAGATTTACAGTACAAGAGAGGAAAACAGGTGAGAGACATTTTAGAAGCAGAGGGCAAACTGAAAACGATGGAATGAAATTGAAGAGGATGAAATGATTTAAAGTGGACTACTCCGATCAGCGGGGAGGTTGTGATGATAAAGGCAGCTGCTTTCAGCAACAAGGAGAGAAAGTGTGAAGCAAGAGGAAACTGGTCTTGGGAACAAATGAATCATCTTCTTCATGTAGTAGCTATGCCCTGGGTTGCATGATTATTCATAAACAAATGCAGGTTTCCTGTGGTGGCAGTGATCTAGGCATGAAAAATACAGTGCTAATATTAGGTTACAGCGCTAATGATCTCAATCAGTTGAAGGGCCCTTTTCCCTTGACTAAACATTTTTTAGCAACAAATGACCCTTACAGCATTTTGTTAATATTGTTGAAAGGACTGTTGGGGCATCAGGTTGGGGACTGAAGGGAATCTCAGGGTCTACTTCCAGCTCTTCCTTAGGTTGGATATATTTCACATGTAAAATGGTAGCATAGGACCTAACTCATAGAATCACTGCGAGGATGAATCATGGTTTCCCTTTGAGCCCCAGTTTCTCTTGTTATAGAAAGGGCATAGTGATTTTTTTGTGACTCAGGAGTATGTGGCAAAGGCACACTTAGGATTATGCAGGAACAGCTTTCATTAAGAGAGCTACTAGGTGACATCTTCTCCATGGTGGCTGCTCAATTATTAAATGAATGATTCCTGGAGACCTTTTGTAGTTTCTATTATTTATCATCATTAGGCCATAACCTAAGGTAAGGTGAGATTGCCTTATAACATTTTTTATACATAAAAAATACTGGTTGCATGCTGCTATCTGCTGTGCAACAGAATGTCATAGGATCCAGTGTATGAGGCTCTATTCTTCCATGGAGGGGTGTTACATAAACCCATTAGTGAAATTTAGGGAAATTTCACCCAGACTAGGGAGGATGAAGAATGGAGCATCTATCTTTTGACAGAAATACAGTTACACACACACATACACACACACATACACACACACAGAGAGAGAGAGAGAGAGAGAGAGAATGAGAAACAAAAACAGAGGAGTACAAAATTGAGCCTAAGAAAAAGAACTGGAACCAATAAAAATTGTAACTAACATTTATTAAGTATCTTCTATGGGCCAGTCTCTTTATCTCCAATCTTCAACAACCAGCAAGGCAGGCAGGAGAAAACTGAAGTTCAAAAATGTTACATAACTTCCCCAGGGTCATAAAGCTATATATACATGACAGAACTGGAACTGGTAGTGTTGGTATGTGTCTGACACCAAAATCACTACACATTCTAGTATACCACTCTGTTAAAAAAGTGTATTTGGAAAATTTAGGGATCAGAGGATTTGGAGAATTTTCTTTCCCTACTTCCCCTCTGACAGTCGTGTTTGTTTTTGGTTCTGATGTTTGCACCCTAGAGGCTGACTGGGATCAAATATGGGGCATCTGTAAACAGAATGATTCCATAGCCCCCACTGTGTAATAATTTCCTTCCTTCAGAGCCTTACTAGGATTTGCCTGGGATGAGGGGTGGAAAGGTGGGAGAGAAGAGGTTGGGAGGGAGAGGATGTTAGTAAAAGATGGGTGATTCTTTGCTTACCTTTAAGTTGTTTATGAATTTCAGGACAACCCGTTGGCTATTCTCTTCTCTGGCTTGGCATATATATATATGTATGTATTTTTTTTTCATTTTTGTTTTGTGGGGGTGGTGGTTTAGGTGTTAAGGGTTTGGTTGATATCTGTAGAAAATTTCTTAATGATCTACACAGTAGATAAAAAAACAAGTTAAGGTCAAAGACAATTCCTTCGTCTGTTTTGGGAGACGAGTGTGTATGTTTGAAAAAAAGGTTTGTTCTGGGTCACTCTTCTTTCATCCAGACGCATTAAAGGAATTAGAAGGGGGTCTCCCTGCCACCCCCGAAACCGTGAGAGTCAAACGGAGATTCCCTTATATTCCTGCTCTCAGGTGCGGGTCCGAGTGACAAGAACGTTCACGTATCTTCGGGAGAGAACGAAAAGGTGCTCGGGTCTGGCGGGGGCGGGGAACGCCAGGGGTTGGTGGGAACTGAGGGGCTTCCGGTTCCCGGGAAGCGGAGTCCCGGGCCGGCCGCGGGCCGCGGGCTACGCAGGGAGCACGGGGCCCTCGCCGCCCCCAGGCCGCGCTCCTTAGCGTTCCCTGCGGCTCGTGCCCAGCGCGGCCGCCGCAGTCCCGACGCCGTAGCCGGACGTGGGGTCCAGGGGGCGCTGTGGCCCAGCGGCGCCGGCGGCAGGAGCGGCCACCCGACGCTGGAGGCTTCGCTGAGGATCCCCGCCTGCCGCACCTCGGTCGTCCCGCCGCAGCCTTGCGCCCCCGGCCCGGCTCGGCGGCGCTCCTCCGGGATCCGCGTGGCTGCCGCGGCCCGGGCGCCGATGCGGCTGGGCGGGTGCCGGGCCTTAGCAGCAGTAGCAGCCGCAGCTGCGGCTACCGCAGCTCCTACAGGAGTGGGAGGTTTCGCGGCGGCGCCTGGGGCCGCGCCGGTGCCCTCCGGAGGAGGCTTTCGGCTCAGGGACGACCCCCGTGGCCATGCTGAAGCGGAGGCGGCCGCTGCTCGAGGTGAGTGTGGCGCGGCGTGGTCCGGGGCTCGCCGGCCTCCCGCCGCCTGTGGGGGCCCTGGCGGCAGACCGCGGGCCGGGCGGACGGGGCGTCCTGCCACTGCGGTCGCCTCCCCCACCCTGCGGTCCTGGGGCCTCAGCCCTTTCTCCCCGCGTCCCCCGGGAGGCTGAAGGCCGTGGGGGGCGATTAGGCCCCGCGCCGTTGGGAAGCCCTCGCTCCGGCCTCGGTTCCGGCGCGGCCGGGTGTGTGGAGCTGGGGGCCGGCAGGAGCACGGCCGCCTTTCGGGTTTGCATGGGCCCGGGCCGAGCGCAGCCTCTTAGCCCGGGCCCTGCACGTACATCCCGGAGGGAGGCAGATGACGCCTGTTTGCAAACAAGCTTTGGCTTCCACGCGTCCCATACCGAGTCCCTCAGAATCCCGGTTGTGGCGGGGAAAGGGGGAGGAGAGGAAGGCCAGGGTGAGAATTGGGGGTGCAGAGAGTGCGGGACCAAGAGAGCCCCTGCTACTCCTGGAGTGTCATTCATGGATCTGGCTTGCTCGAGAACAACCTTTTGCGTCTTATTTGAGGTGAAATTTCATCACCTGCCGGTTGCTCATTCCTGCCTCTTTATATTATATCTTGCCTCTAAGCGTGGTCTGCCTTGGAGAAAGCCCCATCGCATCTTTGCGATGCTAAGTTTTGTAGATAAACACTCACAGTTATAAAAACGTCTTTTACAAAGGTCTGCCCCCCACACCCCGCCAGAAGAAATATTTTTATGCTTCAGTGTTCGGTACAAAAATGTTCCACTTAAAGAGATCCAGAGAATAGTTGGCAAAAGGATTTTAAGTCCTCTTTAAGTGCCAGCTACCCTAATAAATACCTGAAGGAAATGGGATACATGCTAAATTTTAGAAATAAAATGATTTGTTCTGATATTAATGTTGAAAATGCTACTGATTACAGTTTGATACCGTAAGTCAGATATTTATGTTTTGTGAGAAATGTGATTACAGGTTATTCTTGTTTTCCTGTTATGTATGTGAAAGTTATAAGACTTATAGGTACTTGCAAAACTTTTATAATCATGAAAAAATATGCTTATTGTAGAAAACTTGGGAATTATAGAAAGGTACCATGTTGGCTCTTAATAAATATTTAATAATAGGAGAAATCACCCATAATCTCACAGATTGTAAACAGTACAGGTTTATAATGGGCTCGTACTGACAGTGATTTTTAAAATTATTATTTCTGTATATTAGGTTTAAAATTATCTGACTGTTCCATTTTACATTGTCATTTGTATAAGACCTGTAAAAATATTTTACTAAATTACATTGGAACCATGTTGAATTCATCAATTAAAACAGAAGAATATGGGTAACTACCTAAAAGATCCCTGACTTAACCTTCTATGCAGCATGGGGTCTCCATCTAGGGAGAAAGTTTGGCATGGTACACGTTTTTGAAGACCTACTGTGTTAGATGCTGTAGCCTTGCATTGTTTTTGTCAGATTTTAAGTATTTCTTTTAAAAATTGGCTTCATTACCAGTTATTTGGGTAGGTTAATCTCGATTTTTAAAAGTCTAATTCAGGCAAAGTGTGATGGCTAGGCCTACTAGGGAGGCTGAATGGGGAGGACCCCTTGATCCTAGGAGTTCCAGTCCTGCTTGGGCAACGTAAGCAAGATGCCCCTCTCCGAGGCGGGTGGATCATGAGGTCAGAAGTTCAAGACCAGCCTGGTCAATATGGTGAAACCCCGTCTCTACTAAAAATACAAAAATTAGCTGGCATGGTGGTGCCCACCTGTAGCCCCAGCTACTCGGGAGGCTGAGGCACAAGAATCATTTGAACCTGGGAGGCAGACGTTGCAGTGAGCCAAGATTGGGCCACTGACTCTAGCCTGGGCAACAGAGCGAGACTCCATCTCAAAAAAAAAAAGTTGAATACAGTTCTCAGTGTGTCCCTCAAGACCACCAACATTAGAATCAGTTGAGAGTGCTTGTTATATATATAAGTATTATATGTAATATGCAGATTCTTGGTCCCTTGAATTGAAATTCTAGGGATGACGATGGCCCAAAGAACTTTATTTTTATCAGTCTCCCTGATTCTTAGACCTACTAAAGTTTGAGAATCACTGATACAGTAAGTTTAAAATTAACTAACCTTGCTGAGCCGAAGGAAGGTGTCTATTTTCTAGCAAAACTATAAGTCTTTAGTGGCAATAGTCATTTCTTTCTTTTTTTTTTTTTTTTACTTCCTTGCAGCTCCAGCTCAAAGGATGTCATTTTTCGTAGTAAATAATCTTAGAAAGAAAAGTGATATTTTGAGGGACAGCTGATCCAATCAGCAACCATTTATTGAGAGCCTCCTGTGATAGCTGTGGTGTGCTAAAAGAATACCTTGTCATTTACTTTGGCACTTAATGGACACCAATGTCATTGTCTGTAAAATGCATATACTTCAGTTATTATGCTTACCTTGCGAGGCTTTTAGGATAAATAAATCTGAAAAGGTATTATAATCTGTAAAAGATTTTTATACAATTTTGGCTTTTAAGTGCCAGGTCCTGTTATAGGTATTCCAGGAAACACAAAAATGACCAAGGGCTCTACTAAACTTGTCCTGTGGAAGCAGGATACCTTTAATTAACTGTTACAAGGTAGGTCAGACAAGTGTTGAAATTGAGTGGAACGTGCTAAATCTCTGTTTAAGGCTTCTGTGTCTCATCTTGCCGTTTAAGGACATTGATAATACTTTTTATGTATGATTATTCCTTTCTCTTCCAATTCCTGATTCAGTGTTTTCTTTAAGGAAATAATTGCTTATATTGCCTGGTGATAGTTTCCTATTAACTCTTTTAGAAAGGTAGAGTGAGTAGAGATGATAATTCCTTCCTCTGTTGCTAAGCTACCACTGTTCATTCCATTCAGTAAACTTTTATGTGGCACCTTGTAAACGTGCTAGCCACAGACTGGTTGCAAGGCACAAAGCTTGTTTAAAAGATAATTGCCTGGATTTTAGCTTAAGTTCTTATGTTCCTAAAGATATGGCGTATATATGTGTGTTTTATGGTTGTTAATTGCATAATGTGGTACAGAGTATGGAGTCAGATGTGAGCAGGAATCCTTACTACACCTCTTAAAGCGATGTGACATTTAGATTCTGAGTTTCTTATGTACTATTGGGGTAACACTACCCCTCCTAGCAAAGTAGAACAGGTTCCATGAGATAAAAGTAACCGAAAGCAATTAGCTCAGTGTTTGTCATGTAGGAGGTGCTCAATAAATGTACATTTCTTTCTTCCTTTTGGGAAAAACAAAAATCAGGCATTGGGATTTCTGCATGACTTAAAACTTGGTTGCTTTATTTTTTTTAGACTAAGTCTACTTTTGGGATTTGGAATTTTTTATGGAAAACAATTTCGATTTTAGTATGTTTTCCATTTCATTTTTAGCCAATAAATTAGTATTCCCTTTATATAGGGTACACTTGTTGCAAATTATTTATTTTCAGAGTTTTACATTGATCTTTAATTTTACTTGTGTATACTTGACCTGCATTATATAGAGCAACATTCTTAGTACAGTCAGATCTCTGTATCTGTGGGTCCTCCCAGCCAAGGCTCAAAAATATCCACACACACACACACACACACACACACACAAAAGTAATCATACAATAATAAAAATAATACAAATAAAAACCCAATACAGTATAACAGTTGATTTGCATAGCACTTACAATTGTATTTGGCATTGTAAGTAGTCTAGAGATTATTTAAAGTATACAGGAGGATGTTCATAGGTTATATGCAAATACTGTGCCATTTTATATAAGGGATTTGAGCATCCACAGATTGTGGTATCCTGTGGGTTCCTGGAACCAGTCCTCCACAGATACAGAGAGACAACTGTATATAATAATCATTGGAAAAGATGTAGTTGCAGGCACTGAATAGAAATAGTTCATATATTTAGTTTTCAAAAAACTCTCAATTTATTAAATTTACTTAAGAACTGTTTTCAGAACATAGATTTTTCCTTATAAACTACAGTAGGCTAGAACTAGATTTTATAGCCTGCCAGTCTTTTCTTATAACCTTGGACAAGTTTGTTACCCTCTTTAAGTCTCAATTTTCTTTTCTATAAAATGCAACTGATAATAGTCACCTTACAGGATTATTGTAAGTATTAAATGATATAATGGGTAAATCAGAGCTATAGTTCAGTCCCATGAGTCCTGGTAAATCCGGACTCTGGAATTGGAAAATATATTTCTCTGAGTTTTGAAAAAAAGAGGTTGAAAGATTGTTAATTATTTATGTAGTTTACTATTAATAAGTAAAATCAGCATAATCTAATTTTGAAGTATTAGAGATTGCTAAATTAAGGAGGAACCAAGGTGTCAGTAGAATTAGCATTTAGTTATGTAGTAGAATACCTTATATTTTATAATGGTAAAATTTATTTAATAAAATAATTTGAAAAGTGCTGTTTTTACAGGTTGAGCATCCCTAATCCAAAAGTCTGAAATTCGAAATGCTCAAAGGTCCAAAACTTTTTGAGCACTGACATGATCTCACAAGTGGAAAAATTCCACGCCTGATCTCATGTGATGGGTCACAATCAAAATGGTCAAAACTTTGTTTCATGTACAAAATTATTAAAAATAGTGTATAAAGTTACCTTTAGGCTATGCGTATAAGTATACATGAAACAAATGAATTTTGTGTTTAGACTTGCGTCAGAATTCTAATCTGTCCCAAATGCTTCTGGTTCCAAGTATTTTAGATAAGGGATACTCAACGCATAAAGTATTTTCTATTTTACAAATTAATTAATACTTATATTTTTCTTTTAAATTATGGTAAATAGCCCATTTACGGAACTGGAAAAGTTAGAACAGTATTATATATTCACAGAGTTGTGCAAACATCACTGCTGTCTAATTTTAGAACATTTTAATCACTCCAAAGAGAAACTTGTACCCATTAACAGTCACTCCCAGGATCTCCCTAATCCTCCCAGCCCTAGGCAACCGCTAATGTACTTTCTGCCTCTATGGATTTGCCTATCGAGACATTTCATGTAAGTGGAATCATACGATATATGACTGGTTTCTCTTACTTAGCATAATAGTTTTAGGGTTCAGTAGCAAGTGTCAGTACTTCATTTCTTTTTATTGCTGAATAATATTCCATTGTATGGAAATACCACATTTTATTCATCAGTTAGGGCTGTTTCCACTTTTTGGCTACTATAAATAATGTTGTTGTGAACATTCATGTGCAAATTATTGTGTGGAAATATGCTTTCATTTCTCTTGGGTATTTATAGGGATGGAATTGCTGGGCCAAATGGTAGCTGTATGTTTAACCTTTCGAGAAACTATCAGATTGTTTTTACAAAGTAGCTGCACCTTTTTACAATCCCACCTGCGTTGTATGAAGGTTCCAATTTCTTCACGTCCTCACCAACACTTGTTATCTGTTTTTTTGATTATAACCATCCTAATGAGTGTGAAGTGGTAATGTAAGGCTCTATCTGCGGTTCATAACTTTTTTTTTTTCAATAGAGGCGAGGTTTCATTATGTTGGCTAGGCTGGTCTGGAGCTACTAACCTCAAATGATCCACCCACAGCCTCCCAAAGTGCTGGGATTACAGGCATGAGCCACCATGCTCCTGGTTAATAACTTTTATTTACAGTCATTAGGTAAATTGTTGAAGCTTTTACTTGCAGATGCATTGCCAGATTCTTTGATGATAGGGAATGTTTTTGGCCTGAGGATAAAAGTTGTAGGCCAGGCGCTGTGGCTCACGCCTGTAATCCCAGCACTTTGGGAGGCTGAGGTGGGCCGATCGCCTGAGGTCAGGAGTTCGAGACCAGCCTGGCCAATATGGTGAAACTCTGTCTCTCCTGAAAATACAAGCCTTTCGGTTCAAAATCACCACTATATGGTGGCAGATACCTGTAATCCCAGCTACTTGGGAGGCTGAGACAGGAGAATTGCTTGAACCAGGGAGGCGGAGGTTGCAGTGAGCCAAGACTGCACCATTGCACTCCAGCCTGGGCAAGAAGAGCGAAACTCCATCTCAAAAACAAAAAAAGCTGTAAACTTTCTAGTTTCCTGTTTAGTAAACAGTGAACTCTGGTTAATAGAACTGATTAACCACATTGGGTGGTGATAGGAATGGTGGTGTGAGGACTTCAGCTGTATAAAAGGCTGTCTTCTATTAATATGAATATTTCTTTCTTTTTTTTTTTTGAGATGGAGTCTTGCTCTGTTGCCCAGGCTGGAGTGCGGTGGCGCAGTCTTGGCTCACTGCAACCTCTGTCTCCCAGATTCAAGCGATCCTCCTGCCTCAACCTCCCTGGTAGCGGGGACTACAGGTGCGCGCCACCATGCCTGGATAAGTTTTGTAATTTTAGTAGCGACGGGATTTCACCATGTTGGCCAGGCCGGTCTCAAACTGACCTCAAGTGATCTGCCTGCCTTGGCCTCCCAAAGTGCTGGGATTACAGGAATGAGCCACTGTTCCCAGCCTTAACATGATTTTTTTTTTTTTTTTTTTTTTTTTTTTTTTTTTTGAGATAGACTCTCGCTCTGTCAACCAGGCTAGAGTGCAGTAGTGTGATCTTGGCTCACTGTAACCTCCACCTCCCAGTTCAAACAATTCTCCTGACCCAGCCTCTCGAGTAGCTGTTACTACAGGCGCCTGTCACTATGCACCGCTAATTTTTGTATTTTGAGTAGAGATGGGGTTTTGCCGTGTTGACCAGGCTGATCTTGAACATGTAGAATGAAGGTCTAAAACTTGCACTTTGTTTACTCAAACAATGGTTCCCTGTAGTATTTCCTAACTGGTTTGAAAAAAAACTTTAGAAACATTAGCAAGTAATTATTGCTGACTTTGAACTATGTCCTAAAAAACCTCATAGGAAGGCTTTAATACCTTGAATGAGTGCTGGGATTACAGACGTGAGCCACCGCGCCTGGGCAATATGAATATTTCTTAAGAAAAGGCAATTGTAATGCCTGAGTTTAGTTTTTCTTTAACTCTACTGAAACATTTCTAAAAATTTACAGTCTAGTTTCATATTAACATTTCTAGGCAGTCAGGCATGACAGATTTTAAGAATTGCCGTTACCTCTCAATGATACATAATTTTATATAAATACAAATGTCATTGTTTGTCTTGTATGTAGAATATTACCCGATGTTTTGGTTACTCATTCAAGGTATGCCCTGCCACCACGCGTGGCTAATTTTTGTATTTTTAGTAGAGACGGGGTTTCACTATCTTGGCCAGGCTGGTCTTGAACTCCTGACCTCGTGATCCACCTGCTTTGGCCTCCCAAAGTGCTGGGATTACAGGTGTGAGCCACTGCCCGGCCTGTAGTGGTGATTTTAAGCTGAAAGGCTTGTTCTGGTTTATTATACAATCTTTTAGTTCCTTTGGATGATATAGTTTCCGTATAAAGTTACAAAAACAGTAGTTCTGGAGCCTTTCTGGTAGGATTAATGAAAAGATATGCATTTCTGTTTGCAATATAGTTTGGTTCTTTTCTAACCTTTCATGATTAAAGTTTGCTGTTTATCTGTGAGATTTCATTTTATTAAAATGAAGAAAGAGTAAATTGTACATATTTTTATATGTTACATAGCCCAACAGAGTCTATCTCAAAATTCTCTTTACTAAAATAAACTGACTGGTGTGGTGGCATGTGCGTCTAGTCTCAGTTACTTGGGAGGCTGAGGCGGGAAGATTGCCTGAGCCCAGGAGTTCTGGGCTGTAGTGTGCTATGCTGATCAGTGTTTGCACTAAGTTTGGCATCAGTATGGTGACCTCCTGAGAGGGGGTGACCTCCTGGAAGTCGGAGACCACCAGGTTGCCTAAGGAGGGGTGAACTGGCCCAGGCTGGGAATGGAGCAGCTCAAAACTCCCATGCTGATCAGTAGTGGGATCATGTCTGAGAATAGCCACCCCACTCCAGCCTGGGCAACATAGTGAGACCTAATCTCTAAATAGATAGATAGATAGATGATAGATGATAGCTAGATAGATAGCTAGATAGATGAGATATATAGGGCCAGGCACGGTGGCTCATGCCTGTAATCCCAACGCTTTGGGAGGCCGAGGTGGATGGATCGCTTGAGGTCAGGAATTCAAGATCAGCCTGGCCAACATTGTGAAACCCTGTCTCTACTAAAAATACAAAAATTGGCTGGGCGTGGCGTTGGGCCCCTGTAATCTCAGTTACTCAGGAGGCTGAGGCAGGAGAATCGCTTGAACCTGGGAACCCGGAGGGGAGGTGCAGTGAGCCGAGATCACGCCACTGCACGCCAGCCTGGGCAACAGGGGAACATACTGTCTTAAAAAAAAAAAAAAAGAAGAAAAGATAGAACAAGCAATGTCAAAATTTTGTAAAAACACCCTGTCAGGATTTATACAAACTTTAATCTCCATTTTTCATTTTCAGTTGAGCAGGAGAAACAGTCCCTAAAAGGTAATTAAAATAAAACACTGCCAGTTTGAAACTTGAACTTCACAGTACATCATGTAGGCCTTTTTGTGATTCTGGTGATAATTGTCTTTTTTTTTTTTTTTTTAGTAGTAGTAGCCGAGGTAAATTATTTTTGAAGTTATTGTGAGGTCACTCATGGAAATTTCTGCTCAGTGTTTAAAAAGCAAGGTTGAGATTCTTTAACCTGGCATACAGCCTTCATGATTTGGTTCCAAGCTGATCATTCCTCCCTCCTGTTTTTGCATCCTGTTCTTCCAAGATTCCAGGTTTATGGAGTTTTCCTTGATTCTTTTACCTTGTATTACTTTTTGTGGAATATAAAAGCTTTCCCTGTAGTGTGCCATCTTTCTGGTAAGTGTTTCACATATGTTATTTGTAACTCTTACTAAGGATATTATAAGGTCATTATATTATTATGCATTTTACAGCTGAGGGAACTGAGGCTTGGAGAGTTTTATTGATTTTCCTAAGCTTAAGCCCACATTGATGATTCAAACTTATATATCAAGCTCATATATCTCTGACTAGAAAGTCCACACTCTTTTTTCATCCTGTGAATCTTGTCCTGTGTCTATGTGTGTGTGTATGTGTGTTTTTTCTTTTTTTTTTTTTGAGATGGGGTCTCGCTCTGTCATCCAGGCTGGAGTGCAGTGGTGTGGTCTCGGCTCACTGCAACCTCTGCCTCCCGGGTTCAAGCAATTCTCCTGCCTCAGCCTCCCGAGTAGCTGGGACTACAGGCACCCACCACTACACCTGGCTAATTTTTTGTATTTTTAGTAGAGACAAGGTTTCACCATGTTGGTCAGGCTGGTCTGGAACTCCTGACCTCAAGTGATCCACCCGCCTCGGCCTCCCAAAGTGCTGGGATTAGAGACATGAGCCACCTCTCTGAGCCCATCCAGGATTTCTAAAGTATGTTCCCTAGGAGCAAGGAGATGTTCTTTAGTCAAATAAGTTTGGGTTTTCAGCTTACTATATATCCCTTAGGTAGAAGTTTGCAAATGCACGTTAGTATTCTAAAGACTGAGGAGTGGAAGAAACTTGTTTAACTTTGTTCAGCTATGTATTACCCCAATTTTTTTTTTGAGATGGAGTTTTGCTCTTGTTACCCAGGCTGGAGTGCAGTGGCACCATCTTGGTTAACTGCAACCTCCGCCTTCCAGGTTCAAATAATTCTCCTGCCTCAGCCTCCTGATTAGCTGGGATTACAGGCATGCACCACCATGTCTGGCTAATTTTTGTATTTTTAGTAGAGATGGGATTTCACCATGTTGGCCAGGCTGATCTCGAACTCCTGACCTCAGATGATCCACCTGCCTCAGCCTCCTAAAGTACTGGGATTACAGGCATGAGCCAGTGTGCCTGGCTATATTACCCAAACTTATTTGGTTGTGGAACCCCTTTTTTCCACGTAGGCCTTAGTAATTAATACCCTTTACTGATGTAGGTCAACTTTTACCTGTTTTTTAAAGTCTCACCCTCACCGTATCCGAGACTTTGAACTCTCAGATGATAGGCCCTGATTACTTCCTGAAGGTGCTCATTCTGCACGTTATTAGAATATTAGCAGTATTATTTCTTTTTATATTCAGCCAAAAATCTAGCTTTTTTTCTAGTATATATCCTTTTGCTCTTTTACTCTTTAAAATTACACAGAATAAATAATCACTCTTAATATCTAAAGATGACAAGACAGTATCCTGTCTCTCCCAGCATAGTGATTAAATTACAGGCTCTAGAGTCAAACTGTCTGGGTTCAAATTTAATTCTCCTTTCACTTTGTGATCTTGGGCAAGTTAATAACTTCTTTGTGCTTCAGTTTTCTCACCTGTAAAATGGGACTAACAATAATACATCAGTGGGTTAAATAAACAGATACATGTAAAGAGCTAAGTACATAGTGTATTGGTTCAGGTCCGCTGGGAAGCAGACGTTGAAATGGATGTAGTAGCACAAGAGGTTTTATGGGATGGAATGCCTATGAAAGGAAATGGGGAGAAAGCAGAATTGCCTAGGGAGAGCCTCAGTCTGTGATGCAGATCTGAAAAAATCTCAGTCAACCTAACAGGGAACTTCAGAGCACATATTGCCTGTTAGAGGAGGCCTGCATGGGCAGAAATGGCCAGATTTTAGTACACCCACCATGTTTAGTCACTGGCTAGAGCTGCCCAAGGAGAGCATGGTCATGACTGGGAAGCTGAGATGAATTCTGAACATGCTGCAGCTGGAGGCTGTTAGCTAACCAAACTCCTTGGACCTGAATGGCAATTCTTTTTTGAAGGAAGATCCAAGTGATTGCTACAGTCCATTCCTCATGATGCACAGATCCATATCTTCACAGTTTCTGAGAGCAGCTCCTCCAAGGGAGGAAATGTAGAAAGAGATTAGTGAGACAGGCCTCAGGCTCATCACTGTAGCTGGTCTCAGAGCCACAAAGTTCTAGAGCCATCTCCACTATGTAGTCTAAATTGCCCTTGCCCTCAGCTATCATTTCTGCTGGTGTTGGTTGTTTACCTAGTGGTTTGACCCAAACCCTCATTTCTGAGGGGTCTGAGACTGGAGTGGTTGCATTTGCCCATTCATAGTCACTACTGGGCAGGGAGTATTAAGTGGTATCCTAGGGAATCATCTGAGTCCCACACATATTCTTTCTTGTTCCCTTTGTGTAACGGCAGCCCTACTTCCTCCTGAGGATGAGGGTTAATTAATCTTGCCAAGATGGGCATTCCTCTTACTGCTTTCTAGTCCTTGGACACAAGGAATACTCAGTATTCAGGCTGCAGCTGTAAATTGTAGTTCACTGTGACCTTTCATGTGTCTCTTGGCAAAAGTGTGCCCGCTTTGGGTGCCAGGACTTCTAACTCCGTAGAGCCCCACATTGCAGAGATGGGAAGCACAAAGTAGATCATTGGGAATGATGGCGAGTAGGGGCTATTTCCCTTTCCACTTCTTGGTTCTCAGACCCATGTATTCTTCTTACTGGGAACCTAGCTCTAAATCAGTGCATGTACTGCATACAAGAGGATAGCACACCATTTTTGTCTCTGAGCTAGTACATTAGCTGTGCCTGCAGCAGGCCATTCCAATACTCTCTAAGACTGGTCCTTTTGTATGGAGCTGTTATGGATATAACTACTGGAGCTTATGGTTATGGGCCTACTGCCACAAATCTTTCACTGTGAAGTGATTCCCTTGGCTGGATTCCATGTCTGTTGATTAAGTGCTGTATAAGTCTATATTTAGTGGTACTGGCTAGGTCTCTATGGACAGGAAAGGCAAACCCATACCTGGAATAAATGTCTAATCCTGTGAAGATCAATCACTGGCCCATCCAAGATGGAAGAGGCCCAGTGTAGTCAGCTTACCACTTAATAGTCTGTTGGTCTGCCTGAGGCATAATGCTATATGGGGGCTTGGTGTTGGTCTTTGTTGCTCATAGGTTGGATGTTCAGAGTTGGCCTTGGTAAATGGGAGTCCATGTCTCCTTCTCTGCTTCCATCTCTATTTCTGCCACAGTGACCTCTCCATTTATGTCCCCATCTTGCCACTTCTGGGTGACCGATGTCAGCTAGTTGAGTCATTTTGTCTCCTTGGCTGTTCATTGGCTCTTCTGTATTGGATACTTTCTGGTGGGCATTAACACATGAAACAAAGATTTTCATACTTTCCACCCACTCCCATATATTCATTCATTTCCCTCCACCCATACCCCTTGCCTTTGTCCTTCTCCTTAAAGGCCTCTAACCAGTTGGCCAGTCTACTTGCCATTGCCCGTGAGTCTATATATTCTCACCCCAGGCCACTTTTCTTTCTGCATAAAATTCATAACCAGGTGCACGACTCAAAGCTCTGTCTGTTAAGAAGATTTTCCCTTTTCATTGTCAAGGTCACCCCTAAGTGTGGCTATAATGAACTCCGTTGTTTTTTTCAGCTTGCATTCACATACTGAGCTGACCTACTTATAAGCAAAACTTTGGCTTTTTTCTCCTTCTTAAGTTGGTCTTATAGGATACCCCAAATAGCTATAGATGTGAGCTGAGGAAATGGTGCTAGTATGGTGAGTGCCAGGGAAGTCTTGGCTGCCTGCTTATAGCAGTCTTCTTGTGCCTTTTGGTTCTGTTTCATTTTGATCCTTGATGTGCCATTCCTATCTTATAATGGATTGCTGCTATGCTCACCTGGCTTTATGACCTGGCGAGTCCTAGTGAATGCAGATCATTATGGAAAGTCTGGACACATGGTGCCCAGTGATGAAGCATTGTATCTCTTAATAGGACACAGTTGCACACCAGGAGCTGTTTTTCTTTTTTTTCTTTTTTTTTTTTTTTTTTTGAGACGGAGTCTCGCTGTCGCCCAGGCTGGAGTGCAGTGGCGCGATTTCGGCTCACTGCAGGCTCCGCCCCCCGGGGTTCATGCCATTCTCCTGCCTCAGCCTCCCGAGTAGCTGGGACTACAGGCGCCCACCACCTCGCCCAGCTAATTTTTTGTATTTTTAGTAGAGACGGGGTTTCACTGTGTTAGCCAGGATGGTCTCGATCTCCTGACCTCGTGGTCCACCCGCCTCGGCCTCCCAAAGTGCTGGGATTACAGGCGTGAGCCACCACGCCCGGCCACAGGAGCTGTTTTTCTAATAGCATGGCCTTCCTGCAGAACTCTAGGGGCCTGCATTTTGATTCTCTTCCTTGCTATAAACTCTACACTGCATCTTTTCCCACCATTGGTACCTCCAACAGCATAGGGATTGCTTGCACTACAGCCTGGACTTGCTGCAGAGTTGTTGCCCCTACTCAATACTAGCAGCCTTTCATGTCAACCAGTATATGGGCCACAGTGGTATTCCTGGATATAGAATGTGTTACTTCTAGAATCTGAAGGAGCCTACCAGACATTGTGCTTCCTTTTTTGTAGTTGGGGATGCAAGATGCAGCAATTTGTCTTTTGCTTTGGAGGGGATGTGTTGGCATGATTGCGACCACTGGACTCTTAAAACTTTGCTGAAATGGAAGATCCCTGAATATTGGTAGGGTTTTTCTTTACCCTCTTTGGAACACATGTACCCCACCAAGTTCTTCAGTATGCTAGCCACCTCTTGCTCATCTTGCAAGATCAACATGTATCACTGACGTGATGGATCTATATGCTTTGAGTCCAGATCTCTGCAGACTATTATGATAGAGTGGAGTTAACATAGCCCCAAAGCAAAACCATGAATGCATTTTATTGTTTGTTCCATGTGAAAGTGAACTGCTTCTGATCCTCTTTTCTGATTAGGATAGAAAGGAACTTATTTGCCATATAAATGGCTGCATGCTGTGTACCCAAGGCTATATTTATCTGCTACAACAAACATACTACATCTAGCATGGCAATGTGGTCATGGCTGCTACTTGTTTGAGCTTGTGGTAGATCCAACTGGTTCCTGCAGGGGCTAGACTTTTGAATTACATGGATATATATAGGGACTACTGCCCTTGAATCTTTGAGATCCTTAAAGGTGACACTCATCATTGCCATTCCCTTTACCTCTGCCCCCTACACAATTTTGGTTTTGATTTACACCCAGGGGACGGAGAGCTATTTTCAGAAGGTTTCACTTGGCCATTCTCTGTCTGATAGCTCTTACTCCTCAGGTCAAAGACCCGGGGTGGGAGTTACCCCCAACTGCCAAGTATGCCAATCCCATTTATACATTGAGGGACTGGGGAAGTGACTGCTGGGTAGGTCTGTGGACCAGTGGACCCATTAAAAGCTAGACTTTGGCCAGGACTCCATTTATTACTTGGTTCCTGTATTTCTACTGCTATAATAGGGCCACAATGATGCTCCATGTTTCTGTATACCAATATCAAGTCAGACTCTGTGACCCATAGTCTTTGAAATGTCTGGGTATTTTCCTTTCCCCACTTTAGTGACATTCTTTTTTTTTTTTTTGAGACGGAGTCTCGCTGTCGCCCAGGCTGGAGTGCAGTGGCATGATCTTGGCTCACTGCAAGCTCTGCCTCTCGGGTTCACACCATTCTCTTGCCTCAGCCTCCCGAGTAGCTGGGACTACAGGCGCCCGCCACCTCGCCCGGCTAAATTTTTGTATTTTTAGTAGAGACGGGGTTTCACCGTGTTAGCCAGGATGGTCTTGATCTCCTGACCTCGTGATCCGCCTGCCTCGGCCTCCGAAAGTGCTGGGATTACAGGCGTGAGCCACCGCACCCGGCCTCCTTCCCCACTTTATAGTTGCCTGAGTAAATGGCCATAGGTTCCTTTCGGGATGGACTTGGGAATAATTTTACATATATATATGAGTTTAGATGTGAAAACTGGCTCAGGTCCAGGAACTGGGAAAGGGATAGTAGGTTTTTATTGGTGCAATCACCCTCAGCCTCCTGCTTATCCAATTCTGGCCTTGTTTTGATTATATATATTAAGCAGCACTGATTTTGACTATCTGTCTGTTTTTTTCCTTATGGCACCATATTCTCTTTTTTTTTTTTTTTTTTTTTTTTGAGATGGAGTCTCACTCTGTTGCCCAGGCTGTAGTGCAGTGGTGTGGTCTCAGCTCACTGCAACCTCCACCTCCCCGTGTTCAAGTGATTCTCCTGCCTCAGCCTCCCCAGCAGTTGGGATGACAGGTGCCCACCACCACACCTGGCTAATTTTTGTATTTTTAGTAGAGACGGGGGTTTTCACTATGTTGGCCAGGCTGGTCTTGAATTCCTGACCTTAAGTGATCCACCCACCTCAGCCTCCCAGAGTGTGCTGGGATTACAGGAATGAGCCACATTGCCCAGCCTGCACCATATTCTCTTAACTATCTCCACAGCTCCCTGAAAGTTAAGTCTTATTGGCTGTCTTTCAACATGAATCATAATGGTAAGAGTTCACTAGCTTCTGGTGTTTAAGTGCCACCACCTGGCCCCTATTGCTATCAATGAGCCTTTCCTTTAGAGGAGCGCCACCACTGAACTTCTTAGTGATGCTGGTGCCTCTCTCCCCAGTATATTCCTGATAGCTTTGATGCATGGTCTTCTCTCCTCACATGGTATACACAGCTCTATCATACCCACTTTCCTGAGCTTTTTAATCCTGTCCTCTGCTCTCTGCTATGTCAATTCAGTCATTTCAGCCTGACTTAGGTTGGGCCATCATTTTCTCCAGGCTGCTAGGAGCCACCCTGACAGCAAGTTTATGCCATCTCCCAGGTCCCTGCCACAGTGTTAATTCTCATATCCTGAGACAGCCCCTTTCTCAACCAGTAAACTTGACCTTACTCAGTCTAATGTTCCTGCTTGCTTAAGCACCTTGAAAATCTAGCACTGTGGTTTATGCCAGTCCTGCTGGTACCCTGGCTAATTCTTGCCATTCTTTTGGGGATTATAGTCTCTGTTCTCCTTTATGAGGTCCAAGATGTCCTTGGCAGGGTTAGCACTAGCTATTATCATGGCATCTAGGAATGCAGATAGGGACAGATCCTGAGGGAGCCCCTGTGTTGCCTTGCAGGTGACAGACCTCTGAAGTGTGCTGCTGCGCAGCAGGGAGTGCTAACTCATCCCTGAAGACTCAGAGTTCAAAGGATTTGGAAATGACAATCTTTGGGGGCAGCCATCTATCCGTAACCTGTCTATCAGGCTTCTAGGTTTTCCAAATCAGGATCCTGACCTTGGCGTAACAAACCTGCCTTGGCTGAGCATTCAGCCACCGTGAAGCAGTGGTCTGTAGCCATCCTGAGTTTGTTCTTCATCTTTTACTGCCTCCCTTCGTAGGTGATAAGGACCTGTTTGTGAGCTACCAAAGAGCCCTCTGACCTTCACGCTTAGTTTTCAGTTGTTTGTTAGCTGCCCTTTCTAGGGAGCCTGGGCAATCTAACAGCTAGCCAACTTTATTGTTCTTGTATTTTTTTTTTTTTTTGAAACTGAGTCACCCAGGTTGGAGTGCAGTGGCACGATCTTGGCTCACTGTAAGCTCCGCCTCCCAGGTTCACGCCATTCTCCTGCCTCAGCCTCCTGAGCAGCTGGGACTACAGGCGCCTGCCACCATGCCCGGCTAATTTTTTGTATTTTTAGTAGAGACGGGGTTTCACCATGTTGGCCAGGATGGTCTCGATCTCCTGACCTCGTGATCCGCCCGCCTCGGCCTCCCAAACTGCTGGGATTACAGGCATGAGCCACCGCGCCCGGCTATTCTTGTATGTTTTGTGTTCCCCTTCCCAAATATCTGAATCTTTACACCAGTTTGAGTGTTCCTCTCTGGGAACATTCTCCCAAGTCACAACTTGCGTGTTAACACTTGGGCCACCAGCTTGTGCCAGGGCCTGTCATGCCTCACATACCACCTGGGATGAGAGCTTCATTGTCAGTTGGGCAGTAAGTTATCTAATTCCTAAGCCCCATCTTAGCTCCTGCTTTCTTAGTCAATTTCTGGTACCAGCTGTGCCAGTTTGAGTCCTTCAGGAAGCAGCTGCTGAGACAGGACTATAAGAGATACATGAAGTAGGAGAGGACTTCCGTGAAAGGAAAGGGAGAGGAGGCACAATTGTCAGGGAGAGTCTCAGAGTGCGATGCAGGTCTGACAGAGTCTCAGACAACACAGTGAAGACTTGAACAAAAATTGTTCATTAAAGGAGTCCTGCATTGGACAGAAGTGGCCAGGCCTTAGTGCCTATGTTATGAGTAGTCATTGGGTGGGGCTGCCCAGGAAGAGTGTGACTTCAGCTTGAAAGCTGGGCATCCTGAAGGGACTGCAGTAGGAGGCTGTCAGCTAACTGTGCACCTAGAAGCTTATTGGAAAGTTATTTCATAAAGGTTGATATAAGCGACATACCTCCATGGCTGCAACATGTAATAAGCAAATGTTTATTGTTAGGATGATTTTGATGACATTTTTCTTTTTCTTTTTTTTTTTGAGATGGAGTCTCGCTCTGTCACCCAGGCTGGAGTGCAGTGGCGAGATCTCGGCTCACTGCAAGCTCCGCCTCCCAGGTTCACGCTGTTCTCCTGCCTCAGCCTCCTGAGTAGCTGGGACTACAGGCACCCGCCACCATGCCCGGCTAATTTTTTTGTATTTTTAGTAGAGTCGGGGTTTCTTTTTTTTTTGGTAGAAATTACTTTTATGTTAAAATATTCATTAATAAGCTAGCAATTATTCATGTGAAGGAGCGTCCAGAAAACAGGTTCATGACTGAATTATCCTTGTCCTTGATTATAGAGATTCATGAATTACACACATAACACTATTCTCTGGAGTAGCTGTGAAGCTCTACGAGGCTGTGAGGTTGGAGGCGCTTCTCCCTGCCTGTTAAGCTGCTCCCATCGCATCACGACAGGATGGACTTTATTTTTCTCTTTTCAATTAAATCTTTACAACAGTTCGAATGCTCTTTCCAGAATGCATCAGTTCAAAGGCTTTGTTGATTTCCTCAAAAGACAGATTGTGAGTCACAAATTCATCAACTTTTATCTTTTTGGACATATATTCAGACACCAACTTTGGGACACTTTCTACATTCTTCCATCCTCCAAAGGCAGTGCCTTTCTATGTGTGACCTGTTACCAGCTGGAATGGACGAGTGGCAGTTTCTTCACCTGAAGCGGCTACTCTAGCCACCACGCTGATGCCCCAGCCCTTGTGACACGCCTCAAGTGCTGCTCTCATGACCTTCACATTACCAATACATTCAAAGGAATAGTCCATAGAGTCGGGCACCGTGTTAGCCAGGATGGTGTTGATCTCCTGACCTCGTGATCCGCCTGCGTCGGCCTCCTGCAGTGCTGGGATTACAGGCGTGAGCCACTGTGCCCGGCCTTGATGACATTTTTCTAAGTTGCTTTGATTCTTTATGAATAAAAACCTTTTAGACATTTTTCTTATTTTCTCTTGAATGTGTTTTTGTTTGTTAATATGTAATATTAACTGAAATTGAAAACAATATTTCAGTGTGGTCTGGCACATAGTAGGTGTCCAGGGAATGTTGGTTGAAATGAACCATGCAGTTGATCAGTATAGCATAGAACATGATAATCCCCACTCTCCTTATTCTGGACATTTCTAGTGCAGTTTGAGATTGCATTAGCCTGTTTACTGATGATATTTTCTGTGACAGACAATTCAGTAGTTTGGGTCTTTTTATTTTATTTTTTCAAATAAATTAACTTTTATTTGAAAGGAGACTACTTTTCCCCACATGTATCTTCTAAGGATTCTATACTATATGATAACCTGCTTATCCATAGTTCCAATACCAAAATTTCTAACAGCAAATTATATAGTTGCTCTAGGTAATAAATAAGGGTTGTCCTTCACTGATTAAGGGAATACTTAAACTTCAATAAATTTAACAAAGAAATCACACTTTAGTTTTTAAGTTTTGACAGATGTATTTTATTTTATTTTTTTTTGGAGACAGAGTCTTGCTCTATCACCCAGGCTGGAGTGCAGTGGCGCAATCTCAGCTCACTGCAACCTCCGCCTCCTGGGTTCAAGCGATTCTCCTGCCTCAGCCTCCTGAGTAGCTGGGACAGCAAGCACGCACTACCACGCCCAGCTAATTTTTTGTATTTTTAGTAGAGACAGGGTTTTGCTATGTTGCCCAGGCTGGTCTTGAACTCTTGAGCTCAGGCAATCCGCCTGCCTCAGCCTCCCAAAGTGCTAGGATTACCGGTGTGAGCCACTGTGCCTAGCCAAAGTTTTAAGAGATGTATTTTAAATACATCTTTCATAGGAGTCTGCAAGCTTTTTATCTCTAAAAAATGACTTAATTTTTAGGGCTCAAAAATTCCATTCTTCAAAAGAAATGTCCAAGTATTTTCTTTTATAGCTTCAAACTTTCTGCACCTAACTACTTGACTGTTCCATGCCACCCCAAACATGACATGACTGAACTAATTTATGTGTTACTGTCTTCCTCAAAAGAAAGTTTAAAAAGGAGTTCTTCATAAATGCAGATCTCTAATACAATATCTAACACAAAAGAAGCTTTAAAAAGGTAATTTCTTATTTGATTAGCTAGGAGTTTATGTTAGTAAAAGCAAAAAAAAAAAAAGTTTACGGAGTATAACACTAGGGTTGCTTTTATACTCAAGATGTTTACTCAAAATGACAACAATTACATCTTTAGGAGTATAATGTAGATACTAAATAAACCAAAAATTTTTTTTTCTTAAAGACTAGGAAGAATCAGAAGCTTAGGGACATCCAGAATTAAAAAAAAAAAAGGAGAGGAAAAAGAAAATAAAGAGGAAAAAAATGTCCTTCATTGCAACCATTTCATTATCAATAGTGTCTTGGGCTGCAGGAATGAGATCTTGATTGTGATCTGTATCGACTATAATAAGGAGAAGGTGATCATCTTCTGTACCGGTAATCATAGTCTTCATATCTGTCATATCCACGATGATATCCTCTATCATAGTAAGAATCTCGACGTCTGTGACCACCTCCACTGCCGCCTTTGCCACCACCTCCGCCACCACCACTATGAGTTCTGCCCATATAGATGCCTGGTATAGGTGTGCGCATTGTCTTGGTAATAGAATAATCCACCCGAATTTCTTCTATCATCCAGCTCCTTTCTGTTTGCCCTTACCATAGCCTCCTTTGAGTCATCTATTCCCTAAAAATGCACAAAAGCAAATCCTTGAGATCGCCCAGTTTGCTGGTTGTAAACCACATTGGCACCATTCAAAGGTCCATATCAAGAACATACTTCACGAAGATCTCTGTCTGTTGTGTACAAACTAAGGCCAAACACTCTAAGGCAAGTGTTGGGATCTGGATTTGCCCTTCTGCCAGTGTGTCTTCTCTGGTTAGACATTGGAGAATGACTTCGGCTCCTTCACTGCCAGTATTCTGGTGTATATGAGCTACTTCGTCTCCTGTGAGAGTGGTATCTGGATCAAGAGTGGGATCTGGATCAAGTGTGTAACGTCGATGAGAATGCCTCCTTGACATTTTGATCTTGATCGAGAATGGGATTCAGAGTGTTTGAAAACCCTTGAAGGACTACGAGATCCTGACCATCTCTCCAATTTTACACAAGCAGGAGTTCCTGTTGGAGATTTTGACTGAGAGTGAAGACTCATTTACTTAGGACCCATTTATTCTTCCAGATTCTTTTAATTCTACTTCACTCTTGCTTTCTACTTCTCTTCATTCTTGAGTTTTTCACTTTTTGTACTTTGCGTATTCTTCCCCAATTCAAACAATTCAAAATAGCCTTAAAAAAATTCAAGTGCTTCTATCCGACCAATCTTCTGTTCAGTTTTTTCCCCCATTCAATTTTAACTTTCTGATCCTTAATACTTTCCATTAGCCTTCTTTTACCTTGATTTATCTTCAACATTTTTGGAAAAAACTCTTCAGTTTCTTCATGAACATTAACTATGCCCTTGAAGTTGTTCTCCTCTACATCACTCATGTCTATGAGGTGCTCCCCAGAACTAAATATGAGACAAGTCTTGGCTCGAGGGCCAATGGCCTAATCAACCTGCTGACCAAACTGTGGGAGAGAGGAAAGAGTTGGCAACAAAGGCCGCTCCACTCCACTCCCACTTGGTTGCAGGCTCCAGCAAAATGGTGCTGACCTATTTTATTTTTATTTATTAATTTTCTTTTAGTTTAGGTCTGTTAGAGATGATTTAGTTTAGTATTCTAACATTCTAATTTGGTTAGATCTTTCGAATACTGATTCTTTGATCCAGCAGATTCAGCTGTCATACTTTTCTTTATATCCATCACATATTTCATTATTGTGCCATAAATGGCCACATCCAAATCATTAATAAAAATGTTAAACAGGACCAGGCACGGTGGCTCACATCTGTAATCCCAGGACTTCGGGAGGATCACTTGAGCCCAGGAGTTTAAGACCAGCGTGGGCAACATAGTGAGACCTCATCTAAATTATTAAAAAAAAAAAAGTTAAATACGATAAGACCAAGAATCAAGCTCTAGGCCATGCAATTGGTGATGTGCTTTCAGATGGGTAGATATTTATGGTCAACACTATTCAGCCTGTTAAAAATTGACCATATTGAATATGACCCAAATTTCTACCTTTTTTTTAAGACAGGGTCTCACTGTTGCCCAGGCTGGAGCGTAGTGGCTCAATCACTGCTCACTGCAACCCCCGCCTCCTAGGCTCAAGCCATCTTCCCACCTTGGTCTCCCCAGTAGCTGGGACTATAGATGCGCACCACCACACCTAGCTAATTTTTTTTTTTTTTTTTGTAGAGACGGGTTTTCACCATGTTGCCCAGACTGAATTTCTACATTTATTGCTTAAAAGACAATGAGTATATATCTTTTTTGTTTGTTTGTTTTTTAAGATGGGGTCTCATTCTGTAGCCCAGGCTGGAGTGCAGTGGCATGATCTCGGCTCACTGCAACCTCTGCCTCCCAGGTTCAAGTGATTCTCCTGCCTCAGCTTCTTGAGTAGTTGGGATTACAGGCATGCACCACCACGTCCAGCTAATTTTTGTATTTTTAGCAGAGATGGGCTTTTAACACGTTGGCCAGTCTGGTCTTGAACTCCTCACCTCAAGTAATCCACCCGCCTCGGACTCCCAAAGTGTTGGGATTACAGGCAGGAGCCACTGCGCCAAGCCGACAATGAGTATATATCTTTATACATCTATCTATCTATCTATCTGTTTGCACCGAGCCAACAATGAATATATATCTTTATACATCTGTCTGCGCCCAGCTGACAATGAGTATATATCTTTGTCCGTCCGTCCATCCGTCCATCCATCCATCCATCCATCCATCCTTTGCAGACATGCACTAGACCAAGGCTAACAAGGCATTGAGGCAGAAAAGGAAATGAAGCTATTTGGCTATAGATGATTGCTGCTTTCCTTTCTAAGTAAGCACTTGCTTTTGGCTTTTATCTGCCAGTAATCAGCTGGGTGATCTTGGAAAAGTGACTCAGCCTTTCAGGATTTGAGATTCTTAGCAGTAAAATAATATGATTGGGAAGTTTGTAGAGACAAAGCAGAATGGTGTCTGTCAGAAGCTATGGGGAAGGGGAGATGGGGATCAGTGTTTAATAGGTAGAGAGTTTCAGTTTGGGAAGATGAAAAATTTCTGAAGATGGTTGGAGGTAATGGTTGCACAACTGTGTGGACATATTTAATGCCACCAAATTGCACACTTTTAAAAATAGCTAAAATGGTAAATATGTGTATTTTACCACAATAAAAAAAAATCCAGAAAATAAGAGTAGGCTGGTATTGAACAATAGTAACAATAATGTTAAGGGACCCCACTGCCTTTCTTGTTTTTAATTATATAAATATAATAAAAAACTCATATCAGACTTAGTGGTGAAATACTGAAAGAATTTTTATTAAAGTCAGAAACAAAAGAAAATGTCCACCTTCACCATTTTCAGAGGAACTATCAGTGTAATTAGACAAGAAAGAAAGAGATCACTAGAAAAAGGCAAGTGGTTTGGTGGAGGGGCCTCATTGAGATCTTTCAATATGAATTAGAGAAAAGGAAGGGGAAGGATAATAGGACCCCTGAACAGTCTGTGAGGGAGTTTTGTGTGTATACATGCATGTGTGTGTATATAGAAGGGAACAGAATAAATCAGTTGAGACCTGGGGGAAAATATGATTGAATTAGATGGCCCGCAGAATCACCACTGAGAATAGGTAAATGGGAGATAGAAGGCAAATTTATGGGATGTATGTATCTGAACTTTTCTATATGCTGCTTCAATCAGAGCACTTTTCTGTGAGCTCCTATTGGGATTCTGCTGTTAATAGAGGTTTTGCTGTTAAGAGTTTAGAACCATTGGCTTAGAACTCTGGATTCTTCTGACAGAAAAGTTTACTATTTCAGGTTCAATTCAATAGTGATCAGCATAGTTCCTAGAACGTGGCAAAGTGATTGAAATTGTCAGAACAATCATTGAAGAGATGGGCATATAAATAATAACAGCAAATTTGTCTTCTAGACTGTGTCATCAATTATTGGAGGATTGGAAGCATATCTTGTATCCTACTTAGCTCCTCTTCTTTGACTCTCCTGCTATTTGTGCTCTGTTTTAATGCCCTCTGTTCTTTGAAGCAACAGTAGTTACATGGAAAAAGGGGTGAGTTTGCATACCGTCACACTTTGGTATGCAGTAGAAGTGCCTTCTTCATATTTCCATTTTGTCACACAGAATATTAAAAAGACTTTACTCGAGTTGAGATTTAACAAAGTTAATAATTTTTATTGCTTCATCAGTCAAGTGAAACTGACGTTTTAGAACAACTGAGAGTGCATGGCAGTGAAGAATAAGACTACCAGTATAGTTTGGTATTGCTGCCTTGATTATTGCTAAGGTGCAAGCAGTTCTACCCATCATTGCTATTGTGCTTTCACTACAGTTGTCAACATGGTGAAAAGGGCATACATACTAAGATGTGGATTCCCGCGAGTCTGTGGACTACAATTTGAGAACCACTGGAGTAATCTGAACTCATCCCATTTTTAGTTTGAATGTTGCAACCTGCACTTTACCTCATAAGATTACCTAGCCTGTTTAAAAGTTTTTATAAATTCAACAACCTGGTTAGATAAACTCTATTGAGTGTTTAACTGACTTAATCATTTTAAAATGTTTTAATAATACAGGGCTTAATCTATATCCTTCATGATTTTTCATCTGAACACTTTATTGTTTGCTTATATATACTAATTCTACCCTGATGATTAAAAAAAAAAGTTTTAGGCTGGGTGCGGTAGCTTATGCCTGTAATCCCAGCGTGAGGAGGCCAAGGTAGGAGCATTGCTTGAGCCCAGGAGTTCGAGACCAGCCTAGACAACATCTTGTCCCATCTCTACAAAAAACAAAAAAGTCAGGCATGGTGACACGCACCTGTAGTCCCAGCTGGAGGCTGAGGTGGGAGGATCACCCGAGCCTGGGGAGGTCAAGGCTGCAGTAGCTGTGATAATGCCACTGCACTCCAGCCTGGGTGACACCAGATCTTAAGAAGAAAAAAAAGTTTTAAGGCTTACATTTCATGCTTATTTACTCTGAACAAATCTTTTTAAAAAATGTATCAATTGATCTTTATAAAAAATAATTCCCATTAGCAGAATAAAGATTATGTATTGAATATGATTCCAATATAATTTAAAAAGTTTTGCAAAAGGAGTCATAAAAAGAAATGTCTGCTTCATTAAAGTTGCATATTAATACAAACACATGGTATCAGTAAGAACTCTGCCATTGTCAGGATTGCTATAGTTTAGGCCTCTTGTTTCTAAGTCCTCAGGCAGCTGCAGTTGCTCTGTATATCACATTACATAGCTCACCTTCTGTTTCTCATTGAAGAAAAATGAGGCATAGGATGTGCAGTGATCCAATGTTAGGTACTTCCTTGACCCCATCAATCTTGGTGGATAAATAAGAAAAATACATTTTAAGCTTTGAAACATGATTTCAAGCACTTGATAGTGTTTCAGCAGTAGTCTTGGTAAGTGGACGAAGCCAGTGATTTGGCCTGCCTTGGATGGATAAATGAAATTGCACGTTGCCATGAAGACCCATCTCACTCAACAGCGCATGAGATACATATGAATCCTCGCCTTGGTAATGTTCTAGAGGTGAATATTAGCATAGATCTAAAAATAACCTACCCTTTTACCCTGATATATGATGCCACCGTCACTTGTAGAGTACAAAAACGTATACAAATCTTGCCACACTTTGGTTACAGGACACCCACTTCTCAGAAACACCTCATCAGAAAGCACATACAAATCATCAACTGTCATTGCTTTAATTTTGATGTGAAGCCAATCAAGAGTACAGTAATACTCTTGATTCTGCATATCCAAACAAAGTCACAGCAACAAGCAGATGAACTGAAGATAACTTCAAGAGAGCCTTCATGATACCAGGTCCAAAGCAATGACCTCTCAGTGTGCAGACAGCAGAATCACAGTTGATCTTTGGAACATTCAGATCCTGTGAGATGCTTGCAGCAAAAATCTTTGTTTCTGTAGCTTTTTGGAGAAAAGGCAAATAAATTTAGGATTAGTGAAATATTTTCAGCAGGCTGTTGAAAGGAGTTAGAAGTAAGTTGCATTATAGTATTATATGCATTTTGTCATTGTGTAGATCATAGAGTGGTTTCTGTGTGAAATTTGGGGCTTCCTTAGGAGTTAGGAGGGACTGCTTTCATTTAGTATACTTCTTATTTAAGAAAACTTATTAAAATCTGTCATAAAGCAAATTTGAAAATAGAAACAAATTAAGTTTGTGTTACAGATTAGATTCCTCCTCCTCTTCCTCCTCTTCGTCTTCTTTTTTTTTTTTTTTTTTTTTTGACAGAGTCTCGCTCTGTCATCCAGGCTGGAGTGCAATGGTGCGATCTCAGCTTACTGCAACCTCTGCTGCCCAGGTTCAAGCAGTTGTCCTGTCTCAGCGTCCTGCATTGCTGGGGCTACAGGCGCACACCACCACACCCGGCTAGATTGTGTATTTTCAATAGAGACGGGGTTTCACCGTATTGGTCAGGCTGGTCTCAAACTCCTGACCTCAGGTGATCTGCCTGCCTTGGCCTCCCAAAGTGCTAGGATTACAGGCGTGAGCCACTGTGCTTGGCCTTTTTTTTTTTTTTTAAAAGCAACAGGGTCTTGCTCTGTAGCCCAGGCTGGAGTGCGGTGGCTTGATTGTGGCTCACTGTGGCCTTGACCTCAGGCTCAAACAAGCCTCCCATCTCAGCCTCCCAAGTAGCTGGGACCACAGACACACACCACCATGCCTGGCTAATTTTTTACTATTTTGTAGAGACAAGGTCTTCCTATGTTGTCCAGGCTGGTTTTGAACTCCTGGGATCAAGCAATATTCCTGCCTCAGCCTCCCAGAGTACTAGGATTACAGGTATGAGCCACCACGCCTAGCCAGATTAGATTCTTTAAAAGCAAATTCTAGATGAGGTATCAGGTTTCTTTTAATGTATTGAAATTTTGTTGTATTGATTTTTGCTGGAAATAAGTGGCAGTTGGCCGACCCTAATCTGACCCCCCTGGAAACTCCTTTCCTATCATCTGCTACTCTTTCCCTCCCTTAATCTGTGCTTTGTTCTTGCTGTCCCTCTGTTTTTAACTACCTTCCTCTGAATTCCCAGATTGCTCCCTGACATCCAGATCTTGATGTGACTCAGTGAGACTTTCTCTGGCTGCCTAATTTAAAATTGTAACCCCCTAGTCGAGTGCAGTGGCTCATGCCTATAATCCTAGCACTTTGGGAGGCAGAGGCGGGTAGATTGCTTGAGTCCAGGAGTTTGAGACCAGCATGGGCAACATGATAAAACCCAATCTCTACAAAAAATGCAAAAAAACTAGCCAGACGTGGTGGTACACGCCTGTACTCCCAGCTTGGGAGGCTGAGATGTGAGGTTCACCTAAGCCCAGGAGGTCAAGGCTGCCATGAGCCATGATTGTGCCACTGCTCTCCAGCTTGGGTGACAGAGTGAGACACTGTCTGAATAAAATAAAATAAATTTATAACCCTCAAATTTTCCTCTCTCTTTATTTTTCATCTTAACACGTCATCTAGCATATCATATATTTTACATGTTTATCTTGTTGATCATTCATTTCCATCCATTAGAATGTAATCTCTGCGAGGGCTCAGGTTTTGCCTGTTTACTTGCTGTTTCATCTCCAGTGCTAATACTCAAATTCAACAACCTGGTTAGATAAACTCCACTGAGTGTTTAACTGACTTAATTATTTTAAAATGTTATAATAATAGAGGGCTTAATCTGTACCCTTGATTGTTGAAGGAACACAGTAACCAGGTGCTCAAGTATTGGTTGAGTGAATATTTATATAAATGTGAATTATGTGGAGATTTTTATTGTAATTATGTTGTAATGAGATTTGACCCCAAAACTTGCTATTATGAAGTATTTGTACCCTAACTCCTTGCTATCCTCTTATTTTCAACTTGGTCTAGGACTTTAGTAAGCTAATACATTTGTTGAATGGATTTGTCAATCAGTAAGCCTCAATTTTTTCCTGCAGAAATACATTTTCGTTATGTGATGTAACAGTTACATACGTTGGAACAGCCAAGAATTCGTTTTGACCTTTTGCAGATTTTACTTAAGAAGATTTTGAAAAATTTTATTGCTCTTTTTTAAAAATTCTTCCTATCTTCATTTAATATTCAGTTCAAAGCTTTTCATGAAGTCTTGTTAGATAATTCTAAGCTGTAATAATTGTTTCCTCTTAGTTTCTATAACATTAATTTATGAACATACTAATATTTGTAAATCCATTGCATCATTTATTCATTTGACGATACTTATTGACCCATTTACTCTTAATTTGCTGGCATATAGTTTTTCATAGTAGCCACTCATGATCCTTTGAATTTCTTGGTATCAGTAATAATGTCTCCTTTTTCATCTCTGATTTCGTTTGAGTCTTCTTTTTTTCTTAGTCTGGCTAAAGGTTTGTCAATTTTATTTATCTTTTCAAAGAAACTGACATTTGTTTCATTGATCTTTTGTATTGTTTTCATTTCAAATTCATTTCTTTTTTCCTTTTAATTTTCAAATTCATTTATTCTCTGATCTTTATTACTTCTTTTCTTCTAATTTTGGGTTTGGTTTGCTCTTGCTTTTCTAGTTCTTTAAGATGCATCATTAGGTTATTTATTTGAAGGTTTTTCTTTTTTGATGTAGGCACTTAGAGCTATAAATTGTCCTCTTAGTACTGCTTTTGCTGTATCCCATAGGTTTCGGCATGTTGTGTTTCCATTATTATTTGTTTCAATAAAATGTTCAATTTCCTTACTGGCCATTCAGGAGTATATTGTTTAATTTCCATGTGTTTGTATAGTTTCCAAAATTCCTCATTATTGATTTGTAATTTTATTCCCTTGTGGTCAGAGAAGATGCCTGATATTTCCATGCTTTTGAACGTTTTAAGGCTTGTTTTGTGACCGAACATATGGTCTCTACTTGAGAATGATCCACATGCTGAAGATAAAAATGTATATTCTGCAGTTATTGGATGAAATGTCCTGTTAATATCTATTAGGTCCATGTGTTCTATAGTGCAGATTAAGTCCGATGGTTTTTTTTTTTTAATTATACTTTAAGTTTTAGGGTACATGTACACAATGTGCAGGTTAGTTACATATGTATACATGTGCCATGCTGGTGTGCTGCACCCATTAACTCGTCATTTAGCATTAGGTATATCTCCTAATGCTGTCCCTCCCCGCTCCCCCCACCCCACAACAGTCCCCAGAGTGTGATGTTCCCCTTCCTGTGTCCATGTGTTCTCATTGTTCAATTCCCATCTATGAGTGAGAACATGCGGTGTTTGGTTTTCTCCTTGTGATTGTTTACTGAGAATGATGATTTCCAATTTCATCCATGTCCCTACAAAGGACGTGAACTCATCATTTTTTATGGCTGCATAGTATTCCATGGTGTATATGTGCCACATTTTCTTAATCCACTATATCATTGTTGGACATTTGGGTTGGTTCCAAGTCTTTGCTATTGTGAATAGTGCCGCAATAAACATACGTGTGCATGTGTCTTTACAGCAGCATGATTTATAGTCCTTTGGGTATATACCCAGTAATGGGATTGCTGGGTCAAATGGTTTTTCTAGTTCTAGATCCCTGAGGAATTGCCACACTGACTTCCACAATGGTTGAACTAGTTTACAGTCCCACCAACAGTGTAAAAGTGTTCCTATTTCTCCACATCCTCTCCAGCACCTGTTGTTTCCTGACTTTTTAATGATCGCCATTCTAACTGGTATGAGATGGTATCTCATTGTAGTTTTGATTTGCATTTCTCTGATGGCCAGTGATGATGAGCATTTTTTCATGTGTCTTTTGGCTACATAAATGTCTTCTTTTGAGAAGTGTCTGTTCATATCCTTTGCCTGCTTTTTGATGGGGTTGTTTGTTTTTTTCTTGTAAATTTGTTTGTGTTCATTGTAGATTCTGGATATTAGCTCTTTGTCAGATGAGTAGGTTGCGAAAATTTTCTTCCATTTTGTAGGTTGCCTGTTCACTCTGATGGTAGTTTCTTTTGCTGTGCAGAAGCTCTTTAGTTTAATGAGATCCCATTTGTCAATTTTGGCTTTTGTTGCCATTGCTTTTGGTGTTTTAGACATGAAGTCCTTGCCCATGCCTATGTCCTGAATGGTAATGCCTAGGTTTTCTTCTAGGGTTTTTATGGTTTTAGGTCTAACGTTTAAGTCTTTAGTCCATCTTGAATTAAATTTTTTATAAGATGTAAGGAAGGGATCCAGTTTCAGCTTTCTACATATGGCTAGCCAGTTTTCCCAGCACCATTTATTAAATAGGGAATCCTTTCCCCATTGCTTGTTTATCTCAGATTTGTCAAAGATCAGATAGTTGTAGATATGCGGCGTTATTTCTGAGGGCTCTGTTCTGTTCCATTGATCTATATCTCTATTTTGGTACCAGTACCATGCTGTTTTGGTTACTGTAGCCTTGTAGTATAGTTTGAAGTCAGGTAGCATGATGCCTCCAGCTTTGTTCTTTTGGCTTAGGATTGACTTGGTGATTCGGGCTCTTTTTTGGTTCCTTATGAACTTTAAAGTAGTTTTTTCCAATTCTGTGAAGAAAGTCATTGGTAGCTTGATGGGGATGGCATTGAATCTATAAATTACCTTGGGCAGTATGGCCATTTTCACGGTATTGATTGTTCCTACCCATGAGCATGGAATGTTCTTCCATTTGTTTGTATCCTCTTTTATTTCATTGAGCAGTGGTTTGTAGTTCTCCTTGAAGAGGTCCTTCACGTCCCTTGTAAGTTGGATTCCTAAGTATTTTATTCTCTTTGAAGCAATTGTGAATGGGAGTTCACTCATGATTTGGCTCTCTGTTTGTCTGTTATTGGTGTATAAGAATGCTTGTGATTTTTGTACATTGATTTTGTATCCTGAGACTTTGCCGAAGTTGCTTATCAGCTTAAGGAGATTTTGGGCTGAGACAATGGGGTTTTCTAGATATACAATCATGTCATCTACAAACAGGGACAATTTGACTTCCTCTTTTCCTAATTGAATACCCTTTATTTCCTTCTCCTGCCTAATTGCCCTGGCCAGAACTTCCAACACTATGTTGAATAGGAGTGGTGAGAGAGGGCATCCCTGTCTTGTGCCAGTTTTCAAAGGGAATGCTTCCAGTTTTTGCCCATTCAGTATGATATTGGCTGTTGGTTTGTCATAGATAGCTCTTATTATTTTGAGATACGTCCCATCAATACCTAATTTATTGAGAGTTTTTAGCATGAAGTGTTGTTGAATTTTGTCAAAGGCTTTTTCTGCATCTACTGAGATAATCATGTGGTTTTTGTCTTTGGTTCTGTTTATATGCTGGATTACATTTATTGATTTGCTTATATTGAACTGGTCTTGCATCCCAGGGATGAAGCCCACTTGATCATGGTGGATAAGCTTTTTGATGTGCTGCTGGATTTGGTTTGCCAGTATTTTATTGAGGATTTTTGCATCAATGTTCATCAAGGATATTGGTCTCTAATTCTCTTTTTTGGTTGTGTCTCTGCCCGGCTTTGGTATCAGGATGATGCTGGCCTCATAAAATGAGTTAGGGAGGGTTCCCTCTTTTTCTGTTGATTGGAATAGTTTCAGAAGGAATGGTACCAGTTCCTCCTTGTACCTCTGGTAGAATTCGGCTGTGAATCCATCTGGTCCTGGACTCTTTTTGGTTGGTAAGCTGTTGATTATTGCCACAATTTCAGATCCTGTTATTGGTCTATTCAGAGATTCAACTTCTTCCTGGTTTAGTCTTGGGAGAGTGTATGTGTCGAGGAATTTATCCATTTCTTCTAGATTTTCTAGTTTATTTGTGTAGAGGTGTTTATAGTATTCTCTGATGGTAGTTTGTATTCCTGTGAGATCGGTGGTGATATCCCCTTTATAATTTTTTATTGTGTCTATTTGATTCTTCCCTCTTTTTTTCTTTGTTAGTCTTGCTAGCGGTCTATCAGTTTTGTTGATCCTTTCAAAAAACCGGCTCCTGGATTCATTAATTTTTTGAAGAGTTTTTTTTTGTCTCTATTTCCTTCAGTTCTGCTCTGATTTTAGTTATTTCTTGCCTTCTGCTAGCTTTTGAATGTGTTTGCTCTTGCTTTTCTAGTTCTTTTAATTGTGATGTTAGGGTGTCAATTTTGGATCTTTCCTGCTTTGTCTTGTGGGCATTTAGTGCTATAAATTTCCCTCTACACACTACTTTGAATGTGTCCCAGAGATTCTGGTATGTTGTGTCTTTGTTCTTGTTGGTTTCAAAGAACATCTTTATTTCTGCCTTCATTTTGTTATGTACCCAGTAGTCATTCAGGAGCAGGTTGTTCAGTTTCCATGTAGTTGAGTGGTTTTGAGTGAGTTTCTTAATCCTGAGTTCTAGTTTGATTGCACTGTGGTCTGAGAGACAGTTTGTTATAATTTCTGTTCTTTTACATTTGCTGAGGAGAGCTTTACTTCCAACTATGTGGTCAATTTTGGAATAGGTGTGGTGTGGTGCTGAGAATAATGTATATTCTGTTGATTTGGGGTGGAGAGTTCTGTAGATATCTATTAGGTCTGCTTGGTGCAGAGCTGAGTTCAATTCCTGGGTATCCTTGTTAACTTTCTGTCTCATTGATCTGTCTAATGTTGACAGTGGGGTGTTAAAGTCTCCCATTATTATTGTGTGGGAGTCTGAGTCTCTTTGTAGGTCACTCAGGACTTGCTTTATGAATCTGGGTGCTCCTGTATTGGGTGCATATATATTTAGGATAGTTAGCTCTTCTTGCTGAATTGATCCCTTTACCATTATGTAATGGCCTTCTTTGTCTCTTTTGATCTTTGTTGGTTTAAAGTCTGTTTTATCCGAGACTAGGATTGCAACCCCTGCCTTTTTTTGTTTTCCATTTGCTTGGTAGATCTTCCTCCATCCTTTTATTTTGAGCCTATGTGTGTCTGTGCACGTGAGATGGGTGTCCTGAATACAGCACACTGATGGGTCTTGACTCTTTATCCAATTTGCCAGTCTGTGTCTTTTAATTGGAGCGTTTAGTCCATTTACATTGAAAGTTAATATTGTTATGTGTGAATTTGATCCTGTCATTATGGTGTTAGCTGGTTATTTTGCTCTTTAGTTGATGCAGTTTCTTCCTAGTCTTGATGGTCTTTACATTTTGGCATGATTTTGCAGCGGCTGGTACTGGTTGTTCCTTTCCATGTTTAGTGCTTCCTTCAGGAGCTCTTTTAGGGCAGGCCTGGTGGTGACAAAATCTCTCAGCATTTGCTTGTCTGTAAAGTATTTTATTTCTCCTTCACTTATGAAGCTTAGTTTGGCTGGATATGAAATTCTGGGTTGAAAATTCTTTTCTTTAAGAATGTTGAATATTGGCCCCTACTCTCTTCTGGCTCGTAGAGTTTCTGCCGAGAGATCAGCTGTTAGTCTGATGGGCTTCCCTTTGTGGGTAACCCGACCTTTCTCTGTGGCTGCCCTTAACATTTTTTCCTTCATTTCAACTTTGGTGAATCTGACAATTATGTGTCTTGGAGTTGCTCTTCTCGAGGAGTATCTTTGTGGCGTTCTCTGTATTTCCTGAATCTGAATGTTGGCCTGCCTTGCTAGATTGGGGAAGTTCTCCTGGATAATATCCTGCAGAGTGTTTGCCAACTTGGTTCCATTCTCCCCGTCACTTTCAGGTACACCATTCAGATGTAGATTTGGTCTTTTCACATAGTCCCATTTTTCTTGGAGGCTTTGTTCGTTTCTTTTTATTCTTTTTTCTCTAAACTTCCCTTCTTGCTTCATTTCATTCATTTCATCTTCCATCACTGAAACCGTTTCTTCCAGTTGATCGCATCGGCTCCTGAGGCTTCTGCATTCTTCACGTAGTTCTCGAGCCTTGGCTTTCAGCTCCTTTAAGCACTTCTCTGTATTGGTTATTCTAGTTATACATTTGTCTAAGTTTTTTTCAAAGTTTTCAACTTCTTTGCCTTTGGTTTGAATTTCCTCCTGTAGCTTGGAGTAGTTTGATCGTCTGAAGCCTTCTTCTCTCAGCTCGTCAAAGTCATTCTCCATCCAGGTTTGTTCCATTGCTGGTGAGGAACTGCGTTCCTTTGGAGGAGGAGAGACACGCTGCTTTTTAGAGTTTCCAGTTTTTCTGCTCTGTTTTTTCCTCATCTTTGTAGTTTTATCTACTTTTGGTCTTTGATGATGGTGATGTACAGATGGGTTTTTGGTGTGGATGTCCTTTCTGTTTGTTAGTTTTCCTTCTAACAGATAGGACCCTCAGCTGCAGGTCTGTTGGAGTTTGCTAGAGGTCCACTCCAGACCCTGTTTGCCTGGGTATCAGCAGTGGTGGCTGTAGAACAGCGGATCTTGGTGAACCGCAAATGCTGCTGCCTGATCGTTCCTCTGGAAGTTTTGTCTCAGAGGAGTACCCGGCCGTGTGAGGTGTCAGTCTGCCCCTACTGGGGGGTGTCTCCCAGTTAGGCTGGTCAAGGGTCAAGGACCCACTTGAGGAGGCAGTCTGCCCATTCTCAGATCTCCACCTGTGTGCTGGGAGAACCACTGCTCTCTTCAAAGCTGTCAGACAGGGACATTTAAGTCTGCAGAGGTTACTGCTGTCTTTTTGTTTGTCTGTGCCCTGCCCCCAGAGGTGGAGCCTACGGAGGCAGGCAGGCCTCCTTGAGCTGTGGTGTGCTCCACCCAGTTCGAGCTTCCCGGCTGCTTTGTTTACCTAAGCAAGCCTGGGCAATGGTGGGCGCCCCTCCCCCAGCCTCGCTGCCGCCTTGCAGTTTGATCTCAGGCTGCTGTGCTAGCAATCAGCGAGACTCCGTGGGCATAGGACCCTCCGAGCCAGGTGTGGGATATAATCTCCTGGTGCGCCGTTTCCTAAGCCCGTCAGAAAAGCGCAGTATTGGGGTGGGAGTGACCCGATTTTCCAGGTGCCGTCTGTCACCCCTTTCCTTGACCAGGAAAGGGAACTCCCTGACTCCTTGCGCTTCCCGAGTGAGGCAATGCCTTGCCCTGCTTCGGCTCGTGCACAGTGCGCTGCACCCACTGTCCTGTGCCCACTCTCTGGCACTCCCTAGTGAGATGAACCCGGTACCTCAGATGGAAATGCAGAAATCACCCATCTTCTGCGTCGCTCACGCTGGGAGCTGTAGACCGGAGCTGTTCCTATTTGGCCATCTTGGCTCCCCAGCCCGATTTTTTTTTTTTTTTTTTGAGACGGACTCTCCCTCTTGTCACCCAGGCTGGAGTGCAATGGCAGGATCTCAGCTCACTGCAACCTCTGCCTCCCAGGTTCAAGCACTTCTCCTGCCTCAGCCTCCCCAGTAGCTGGGATTACAGGCATGAGCTACCAACCTGGCTAATTTTTGTATTTTTGAGTAGAAATGAGATTTCACCATCTTGGCCAGGCTGGTCTTGAACTCCTGACCTCATGATCCATCCGCCTCGCCGCACAAAGTGCTGGATTACAGGCGTGAGCCACTGCACCTGGCCCAAGTCTGATGTTTCTTTGTTGATTTTTTGTCTGGGAGATCTGTCCAGTACATGACCCATGTACTCTCTCAAGACCGTGCTTAAGTGCTAGATATAGAAAAAGGAATAAGACATCTGTGCCATCAAGGAATTAAAGGACTAGTTGGGAAGGCAAATATGTAAATGAGTAAATACACCAAATTGTGTGAAGATGATCAGTTCCATCTGGAGAGATCGAGGAAAGCTTGACTGAAATGGTGACACTTTTGTTTAGTATTGAAAAATTAACAGGAGTTCTCCAGATGGATAAAGATGAGAGGGGTGTTTTAAGCAGAGGAAAACCTGGGCACAAACGTGTAGCAGTATGTGGAACAACATATGCTATCTAATTGGGGAACTGCAAATAGTGTGTTATGCTAGTTTTGTAGGCTGAAAGGAATTGAGGGCAAGAGGTAAAGTAGATACTTAGACACAGGAGCTAGATTATGAAAGACTTCATATACTATGAAAAGTAGTTTTGTTTTTTTTTTTTTTAGCAGGGCATGGGGAACCAATGAAGAATTTAAAATAATAGGCCGGGCACAGTGGCTCACGCCCGTAATCCCAGCACTTTGGGAGGCCGAGGCGGGTAGATCACGAAGTCAGGAGATCGAGACAATCCTGGCTAACAAGGTGAAACCCCATCTCTACTAAAAATACAAAAAATTAGCTGGGTGTGGTGGCTGGCGCCTGTAGTCTCAGCTACTTGGGAGGCTGAGGCAGGAGAATGGCATGAACCTGGGAGGTGGAGCTTGCAGTGAGCCCAGATCCCGCCACTGCACTCCAGCCTGGGTGACAGAGCAAGACTCCATCTCAAAAAAAAAAAAAAAAAAAAAAAAAGGTAGGCTACTTGGGCATATTTGGGCTTTTTTTTTTTTTCGTTTTTGAGACGGAGTCTCGCACTATCGCCCAGGCAGGAGTGCAGTGGCACGATCTTGGCTCACTGTAACCTCCACCTCCTGGATTCAAGTGATTCTCTTGCCTCGGCCTCCTGAGTAGCTAGGACCCAGGCACCCACCACCATGCCCGGCTAATTTCTGTATTTTTAGTAGAGACAGGGTTTCACCATATTAGACAGGCTGGTCTTGAACTCCTGACCTTGTGATCCACCTGCCTCGGCCTACCAAAGTGCTAGGATTACAGGCATGAGCCACCTCGCCCGGCTTATTTGGTTGAAGATTTAGAAAGATTATTTTGTTGTCTGTGTAGCAGATGGGTTGAATGAGGGCCAGAATGGATACAGGGTTATCATTGGGGAAACTATTGAAGAAAACAAAGCCAGAGACAATAATATAAATTAGAGTAGTAACATCTAGAATGGATAGGAAGGGATGGATTCAAGAGATAATTACTTATTTATGAGACAGAGTCTCGCTCTGTTACCCAGGCTGGAGTGCAGTGGTGTGATCATGGCTCATTGGAGCCTCGACCTCTTGGCCCAAACAATCTTCCTACCTCAACCTCCTGAGTAGCTGGGACCACAGGCATGTGCCACCATGCCTGGCTAATTTTTTTGTTTTTGTAGAGACAGGGTCTCCCTTTGTTGCCCAGGGTGGTCTTGAACTCCTGGGCTCAAGCAGCCCTCCCTCCGTGGCCTCCCAAAATGCTGGAATTATAGATGTGAGACACTGTGCCTGGCCACAAGAGATATTTAGGGTTTGAATTGTTAGGATTGATTGGTGGGTAGAGTGGTTCTTAGATGTCTGGGTTTGGATGATTGAGTGTATCATTCAGGCTTAGATGAGGCGATGGAGTGCAGAAGACATACTAGGTTTTAGGGAGTAGTTAAAGCCACAAGGGTGAATGAGATCATCCAGTGAAACCATGTAGAGTGAAGAGACAAGAGGTCATGAGAGAGAACATGAGACTGGATTAAAAGTCACATTTAAGGCCGGGCGTGGTGGCTCATGCCTGTAATTCCAGCACTTTGGGAGGCTGAGGCGGGCGGATTGTGTGAGGTCAGGAGTTCAAGACCAGCCTGGCTAACGTTGTGAAACCTGTCTCTACTAAAAATACAAAAATTAGTTGGGCGTGGTGGCACATGCCTATAGTCCCAGCTACTTGGGAGGCTGAGGCAGGAGAATCTTTTGAACCCGAGAGGTGGAGGTTGCAGTGAGCTGAGATTGTGCCACTGCACTCCAACCTATGCAACAGAGCAAGATTGTGTCTCAAAAAAAAAAAAGTCACATTTAAGTGACACAGTGGAATAAAGTCCACAAAAGGAGACAAAGAAAAGAAGAGGAAAATCAATAGAGAGTATCAAGTTTTTATAGGAGCGGAGGAGGAGAGTTTTAAAAAAGAGTGTTCCTGTGGATAGGCTAAATAAAAAGGATTTAAAGTGTCTATTAGGGGGCACAGCTGGCTTCAGCAATTGGAAACAAGATGCAGGACCCCAACGCAGACACTGAATGGAGTGACATCTTACACAAAAAGGGCATCTTAAAGTCTGAAAGAATTGGAAGAGGAGGCAGAAGATGAGCAGCGCATCCTCCAGCAGTCAGTCGTGACAACATAGGAAGATATGACTTTGGAAGAGCTGGAGGATCGTGAAGACAAGTTTAATGAGGAGGATGAATGTGCTATTGAAATGTACAGACAGCAGAGACTGGCTGAGTGGAAAGCAACTAAATTGAAGAATAAATTTGAAGAAGTTTTGGAGATCTCAGGGAAGGATTATGTTCAAGAAGTTACCAAAGCCAGTGAGGGTTTGTGGGTCGTCTTGCACCTTTACAAACAAGGAATTCCCCTCTGTGCCCTGATAAATCAGCACCTCAGTGGAGTTGCCAGGAAGTTTCCTGATGTCAAATTTATCAAAGCCATTTCAACAACCTGCATACCCAGTTATCCTGATAGGAATCTGCCCATGATATTTGTTTACGTGGAAGGAGATATCAAGGCTCAGTTTATTGGTCCTCTGGTGTTTGGCGGCATTAACCTGACAAGAGATGAGTTGCAGTGAAAACTGTCTGAATCTGGAGCAATTAAGAGGGACCTGGAGGAAAACCCTAAGAAGCCAGTTGAAGATGTATTGCTGTCCTCAGTGCAATGCTCTGTCCCCATGAAGAGGGACAGTGATTCTGAGGGTGACTGAGGCTGCAGCTGCTATCACTTTCTTGTGACAAATTGTCTGGATTTTTTAAAAAAGGATAAAGTAAGAATGAATTCTTCTGGTTTTTAGTTTTGTACAAATTATGTTTCAAATCTTTACATTTTAGAAATAATCATTGCTGGGCCGGGCGCGGTGGCTTACGCCTGTAATCCCAGTGCTTTGGGAGCCTGAGGCAGGCAGATCACCTGAAGTTGGGAGTTCGATACCAGCCTTACCAACATGGAGAAACCCTGTCTCCACTAAAAATACAAAAATAGCCGGGCGTGGTGGCGCATGCCTGTAATCCCAGTTACTCAGGAGGCTGAGGCAGGAGAATCACTTGAACCTGGGAGGCGGAGGTTGCAGTGAGCTGAATCACCCCATTGCATGCCAGCCTGGGCAACAAAGAGCAAAACTCCGTCTCAAAAAAAAAAAAAAAAAAAAAGGTAGAAATAATCATTGCTGGAAATTCTGTTAAATATTTTGGAACTCGTCCCTCTCCCTCTCCCTCTCCCTCTCCCTCACTTTCTCCCTCACGGTCTCCTTCTCCCTCTCTTTCCACGGTCTCCCTCTGATGCCGAGCCGAAGCTGGACTGTACTGCTGCCATCTCGGCTCACTGCAACCTCCCTGCCTGATTCTCCTGCCTCAGCCTGCTGAGTGCCTGCGATTGCAGGCGCGCGCTGCCACGCCTGACTGGTTTTCGTATTTTTTTGGTGGAGACGGGGTTTCGCTGGGTTGGCCGGGCTGGTCTCCAGCTCCTAACTGCGAGTGATCCGCCAGCCTCGGCCTCCCGAGGTGCTGGGATTGCAGACGGAGTCTGGTTCACTCAGTGCTCAATGGTGCCCAGGCTGGAGTGCAGTGGCGTGATCTCGGCTCGCTACAATCTCCACCTCCCAGCCGCCTGCCTTGGCCTCCCAAAGTGCCGAGATTGCAGCCTCTGCCCGGCCGCCACCCCGTCTGGGAAGGGAGAAGCGTCTCTGCCTGGCCGCCCATCGTCTGGGATGTGAGGAGCCCCTCTGCCTGGCTGCCCAGTCTGGAAAGTGAGGAGCGTCTCTGCCCGCCCGCCATCCCATCTAGGAAGTGAGGAGCGCCTCTTCCCGGCCGCCATCCCATCTAGGAAGTGAGGAGCGTCTCTGCCCGGCCGCCCATCGTCTGAGATGTGGGGAGCGCCTCTGCCCCGCTGCCCCGTCTGGGATGTGAGGAGCGCCTCTGCCTGGCTGCGACCCCGTCTGGGAGGTGAGGAGCGTCTCTGGCTGGCCGCCCCGTCTGAGAAGCGAGGAGCCCCTCCGCCCTGCAGCCGCCCCGTCTGAGAAGCGAGGAGCCCCTCCGCCCGGCAGCCACCCCGTCTGGGAAGTAAGGAGCGTCTCCGCCCGGCAGCCACCCCGTCGGGGAGGGAGGTGGGGGTCAGCCACCGCCAGGCCAGCCGCCCCGTCCCGGAGGGAGGCGAGGGGGTCAGCCCACCGCCCGGCCAGCCGCCCCGTCCGGGAGGGAGGCGAGGGGGTCAGCCCCTCGCCCGGCCAGCTGCCCCGTCCGGAGGGAGGTGGGGGGGTCAGCCCCCCGTCCAGGAGAGAGGTGGGGGGTCAGCCCCCCGCCCGGCCAGCTGCCCCATCGGGGAGGTGAGGGGCGCCTCTGCCCGGCCGCCCCTACTGGGAAGTGAGGAGCCCCTCTGCCCGGCCACCACCCCGTCTGGGAGGTGTGCCCAACAGCTCATTGAGAAGGGGCCATGATGACAGTGGCGGTTTTGTGGAATAGAAAAGGGGGAAAGGTGGGGAAAAGATTGAGAAATCAGATGGTTGCTGTGTCTGTGTAGAAAGAAGTAGACATGGGAGACTTTTCATTTTGTTCTGTACTAAGAAAAATTCTTCTGCCTTGGGATCCTGTTGATCTATGACCTTACCCCGAACCCTGTGCTCTCTGAAACATGTGCTGTGTCCACTCAGGGTTAAATGGATTAAGGGCGGTGCAAGATGTGCTTTGTTAAACAGATGCTTGAAGGCAGCATGCTTGTTAAGAGTCATCACCACTCCCTAATCTCAAGTACCCAGGGACACAAACACTGCGGAAGGCTGCAGGGTCCTCTGCGTAGGAAAACCAGAGACCTTTGTTCACTTGTTAATCTGCTGACCTTCCCTCCACTATTGTCCTGTGACCCAGCCAAATCCCCCTCTGCGAGAAACACCCAAGAATGATCAATAAAAAATAAAATAAAAAATAAAAAAAAATAAATATTTTGGAACTCTTTTTTAAATTATAGTATTTCCTTTAAAAAAAAAATAAAACCAGCTATTGGTATGGCACATGTGTATTTTCCTCATTTATATTTTAAGTAAGCCATAAAACCTAGTCACTATTTTTTGACATATAACTATAAAAAGAATATTTAGTTTTAAATGTGAATAAATTAAAAAAAATAAGGTGTCTATTAGGATTGGCAATTAGAAAGTCATTGATGACCTTAGGTAGAGCAGTTTTAGTAGATTGAAAGTAAGAATTGAAAGTAAGTAAAGGTCAGTAATTTTTTTCTTTTAAAAGAATGTGGCTGTGAAAAGAAGGCGAAAGGGCAGTAATTAGAGGGAAATGTAGGGTTGAAGGAGAGGTTTTAATGTTTGTTATCAAAAGATGTTGAGGATGTTTACAGACCGTAAAAGGGAAAGGTTGAAAAGACAGAGGACACAGGCACTTAGAGTATGTTGTAAAGTAGATTGTTTCAAAATTAATTAACGTATATATTGGGAAGTAAACCAGTTAAGTAGACTATGAATGTTTGGGATATATGTTTGTTGTAACTTATAGCAATCACCAACATATAGAATACTCAAACTCAATTTTAGAAGTCATAGGAAACTAAGAGATTTTCTAGACCAGTTTCTTTATTAAACATATGAGGAAATTGAGACCTGTGTTTGTACTTTTGCCTTTTGAGTTATTAATTTTATTCAAAATTATTTATGTATTTATTTGTTTGTTTTTGAGCTGGAGTCTCACTTTTTCCCTGGCTGGAGTGCAGTGGTGCGATCTCAGCTCACTGCAACCTCTGCCTCCCGGGTTCAAGTAATTCTCCTGTCTCAGCCTTCCGAGTATCTGGGAGTACAGGTGCGTGCCACCACACCCGGCTAATTTTTTTGTGTATTTTAGTAGAGACAGGATTTCACCATGTTGCCCAGGCTGGTCTCAAACTCCTGAGCTTAGGCAATCCACCCGCCTCGGCCTCCCGAAGTGCTAGGATTACTGGCGTGAGCCACCGCGTCCAGCCTCAGCTGTGTCTTTAATGTATAAGCTTGTCAGAGCTTTTCTTTTCTATCTTTCTTTTTTTTTTTTTTGAGATGGAGTCTCACTCTGTCACCCAGGCTGGAGTGCAGTGGCATGATCCTGACCTTGTGATCCACCCACCTCGACTTCCCAAAGTGCTGGGATTACAGGCGTGAGCCACCGCACCTGGCCAAGCTTTTCTTTTTATAAAAATAATTTTTAAAAGACACAGTAAGGTAGAGTAGGGCTGCAGAGAGGACATCATGGAGTTATGTCATAAATTCACACAACGGTCAGGTGATTTGATATAGTTCACCTTTTTAGTTGGCAGCTTTAAATTAGGTCATTTCATGGTTCTATTTGTCCTTTTGGCATTTCTTTAATGACAAGTGTCATTATATATATATATTTATATATATAGATATATATATATATATTTTGAGATGGATTTTCACTCTTGTTGCCCAGGCTGGAGTGCAGTGGCATGATTTTGGCTCACTGCAACCTCTGCCTCCTGGGTTCAAGTGATTCTTCTGTACCTCAGCCTCCCAAGTAGCTGGGAGTACAGGCGCCTGCCACCAAGTCCAGCTAATTTTTTTTTTTTTTTTTTTTTTGGTATTTTTTAGTAGAGATGGGGTTTCCTCATGTTGGCCAGGCTGGCCTTGAACTCCTGACCTCAGGTGATCCACCTGCCTTTTTCTCCCAAATTTCTGGGATTACAGGTGTGAGCCACCGCATCTGGCCAGGAAAATAATTTTGAAGTCAGCCTTTTCCATTTTTGGGTGGCGGGTGGTGGGGAGCGGGGGTGGGCGGGGGTGGGTCCTCAATCAGATACTTAATGTGACAACAAAGAAACAAATTCCTCTTTGACTATCCAGGACGATTATTCCAGATGACCATCCTTTAGATTTAAATAGCTGCTAATGTTCAGTGTAAAAGAATTGAAAAACTGAGTGCGGTGACCTATAATCCCAGATGCTTGGGAGGTTGAGGAGGAGGGATCACCTGAGGCCAGGAGTTAGAGACCAGCCTGGACAACATAGCAAGACCCCATCTCAAAAACAAAACAAAGACTGGGCACGGTGGCTCATGCCTGTAATCCCAGCACTTTGGGAGGACAAGGGGGAGGATTGTTTGAGCTCAGGAGTTCAAGACCAGTCTGGGCAGCATACTGAGTCTCTATCTCTAAGCTAAACAAAACAAAAAAAGAATTGATAAAATGTTTTGCCAAGTCTGATGACGTACAACATTTTTTGTTTGTTTGCTTGGGAGTGGAACCTTTGGGTCTGCCTCCGCATTGCAGTACTATCTCCCCACTTGCTAACACTCATCCCAGGTTTATGCTTTTCTTAAGAGGTGTTCAACAATTTAATACCTACTAGTTCAGCTTTTTCATTGAAGAGGGAGTAATAATTATACCTTACAGAGTGCTTTCTTTTTTAATTTTCATTAACAAAGGGTTGGAACAGATATTTTTATTATCCTCATTTAAGAAGAGAAAAAAACAGGTAGAAGCTAAGCAAGTTTTCTAATGCCACACCATGCTAAAAGATTGTAAATTCCCATGGAAAGACTTATTCTGACAAAATTATCAATGGTTAGTGTATTTTTAATGAAATTAAAAATGAAATTATAAGCCTGGGAAATGTTATTGAGGAATGTCTAAAATTCTATTGCTTAGCTCTGTTAAGTAGCTGTAGAGTATTAGTCCCTAATTAATAAACCAAATAAGTAAGATATGCTATTTATTGAGTTGGAAGTTTTAATATAGAGTATTGCTAAGCACTTTTAAATCCTTTGTTAAAAATAAAATTGGTTAGATGCAGAAAAGGCTCTTGATGGCCGGGCACGGTGGCTCACGCCTGTAATCCCAGCACTTTTGGAGGCCAAGGCGGGCAGATCACAAGGTCAAGAAATCGAGACCATCCTGGCCAACATGGTGAAACCCCATCTCTACTAAAAATATAAAAATTAGCTGGGCATGGTGGTGTTTCTGTAGTCCCAGCTACTTGAGAGGCTGAGACTGGAGAATCGCTTGAACCTGGGAGGCAGAGGTTGCAGTGAGCCGAGATTGCGCCACTGCACTCCAGCCTGGGGACAGAGTGAGACTCCGTCTCAAAAAAAAAAAAAAAAGCTTTTGATAAAATTCAATATCCTGGTTGGGTGCAGTGGCTGATGCCTATAATCCCAGCACTTTGGGAGGCCGAGACGGGTGGATCACTTGAGGTCAGGAGTTCAAGACCAGCCTGGCCAACATGGTGAAACCCCATCTCTACTAAAAATACAGTATTAGCTGGGCTTGGTGGCAGGCACCTGTAATCCTAGTTACTTGGGAGCCTGAGGCAGGAGAATTGCTTGAACCTGGGAGGTGGAGGTTTCAGTGAGCCAAGATCATGCCACTGCACTCCAGCCTGGGTGACAGAGCGAGACTCTGTCTCAAAAAAAAAAAAACAAAACAAAACCCAAAAAACAACAACAAAAAAGCCTCTCAGTAAACTAGGTATTGAAGGAACATACCTTAAAATAATAAGAGCCGTCTATGACCAACCCACAGCCAACCTCATATTGAATGGGCAGGAGCTGGAAGCATTCCCTTGAAAACTGGCACAAGACAAGGATGCCCTTTTTCACTACTCCTATTCAGCACAGTATTGGAAGTCCTGGCCAGGGAGATCAGGGAAGAGAAAGAAAGGGCATCCAGATAGGAAGAAAAGAAGTAAAACTATCATCCATGTTGGCAGATGACATGATTCTATATCTAGAAAACCTCATAGTCTTGGCCCAAAAGCTCCTTCAGCTGATAGCTTCAGCAAAGTTTCAGGATACAGAATAAACACAGAAATCACTAGCATTCCTAGACACTGACAGCAGCCAAGCTGAGAGCCAAATTAGAAACGCAATCCCATTCACAATTGGCACAAAAAGAATAAAGTATTAATACGTAGGAATACAGTTAACCAGGGAGGTGAAAGATCTCTACAATGAGAATTACAAAATATTGCTCAAAGAAATCAGAGATGACACAAACAAATGGAAAAACATTCCATGATTATGGATAGGAAGAATCAATATCATTAAAATGGCCATACTGTCCAAAGCAACTTACAGATTCAATGATATTCCTATCAAACTATCAATGGCATTCTACACAGAACTAGAAAAAAATATTTTAAAATTCATATGGAACCAAAAAAGAGCCCCAAAGCCAAGGGCATCCTCAGGAAAAAGAACAAAGCTGGAGGCATCATATTACCCCACTCAAACTATACTACAGTGCTACAGTAACCAAAACAGCATGGTACTAACACAAAACAGACACGTAAACCAATGGAACAGAATAGAGAGCCCAGAAATAAGGTCCATACCTACAACCATCTGATCTTTGACAAAAGCTGACAAAAACTAGCAATGGGGAAAGGACTGCCTATTCAATAAATGGTGCTGGGATAACTGGCTAGCCATATGCAGAAGATTGAAGCTGGACCCCTTCTTTATACCATGCACAAAAATCAATGCAAGATGGTTTAAAGACTTAAATGTAAAACCCAAAAGTATAAAAACCCTGGAAGACAGCCTAGGCAATACATTTTGGACATAGGAACTGGCAAAGATTTCATGATGAAGACACCAAAAGCCATTGCAACAAAAGCAAAAATTGACAAATGGCATCTAATTAAACTTAAGAGTTTCTGCACAGCAAACTACCAACAGAGTAAACAGACTACAGAATGGGAGAAAATTTTTGCAAACTATGCATCTGACAAAGGTCTGATATCTAGCATCTAAAAGGAGCTTAAACAAATTTATGAGAGAAAAACAACTCCATTAAAAAGTGGGCAAAGGACATGAACACTTTTCAAAAGAAGACATACATGTGCGACCAACAAGCATATGAAGGAAAGCTCACCATCACTGATCATTAGAGAAATGCAAACCAAAACCTCAGTGAGATACCATCTCACACCAGTCAGAGTGGCTATTGTTAAAAAGTCAATTAATAACAGATGCTGACAAGGTTGTGGAGAAAAGGGAATTCTTATACACTGTTGGTGGGAGTGTAAATTAGTTCAGCCATTATGGAAAACGATTCCTTTCCACAGTGATTCCCTTGTTTTGTGATTCCTCAAAGAGCTAAAAACAGAACTATCATTTGACCAAGCAATCCCATTACTGGGTATATACCCAAAGGAATATAAATTGTTCTAGCATAAAGACACATGCATGCATATGTTCATTGCAGCACTATTCACAATAGCAAAGACATGGAATCAACCTAAATGCCTATCAATGGCATATTGGATAAAGGAAATGAGGTACATATACTCCATGGAATACTATGGCGCCATACAAAAGAATGAGACCATATGCTGTGCAGGAACACGGATGGAGCTGGAGGCCGTTGTACTTAGGAAACTAATGCAGGAACAGAAACCGTATACCACGTGTTCTTACTTATAAGTGAGAGCTAAATGATGAGAACACACAGACACAAAGAGGGGAACAACGGACACTGGGTCCTACTGGAGGGTGGAGGCTGGGAGGAGGGAGAAGATCAGAAAAAATAAGTATTAGGTACTAGGCCTTTACCTGGGTGACAAAATAATTTGTACAATAAACCCCTGTGACATGAGTTTACCTGTATAACAAACCTGCACTTGTACCCCTGAACCTAAAATATAAGTTAAAAAATTTTTAAAATAAAATTGCCTAGTTTATCCAACAGTTAGAATTGGCATTTGATGAATATTTTGAATAATATGATTTCATTAAAAATAATAGTTTTGTAATTTTGTACAAAAAATAGTTTTGTAGCCTATAAAATGAATTTATAGGTATGAGAGGACTGGCTGCTAATTTTTCTATCTTATAATTGAAGATGAGTTGCATTGGTTTATATAGTAGACTGAGGTACATGGTAGAATACCAATGTTAAGGTCAGGCGGATCAGAATTACAGTATTTCTAGTTTTAGTTCTTGTTTTTAAGATAGCTTTTTTTTTATGTTTTTAAGATAGCTTTATAACAAAATTCACCTGTTCAAAGTGTAGAATTCAGTAGTTTTCAGTTGTGAATTACTTTCAGTAGTTTTCACAGTCATGCGGTAATCACCACTGTCTTATTTTATTTTATTTTTATTTATTTATTTATTTATTTTGAGATGGAGTCTTGCTTTGTTGCCCACGTTGGAGTGCAGTGGCATGATCTCGGCTCACTGCAACCTCTGCCTCCCAGGTTCGAGTGATTCTTCTGCCTCAGCCTCCCGAGTAGGTGGGATTACAGGCACCTACCACCACGCCTGGCTAATTTTGTATTTTTAGTAGAGATGGGGTTTCACCATATTGGCCCGGGTGGTCTTGAACTCCTGACCTTAAGTGATCCATCCACCTTAGCCTCCCAAAGTGCTAGGATTACAGGCATGAGCCACCATGCCCAGCCTATTTTTTTTTTTTTCTTTAGATAGGATCTCACTCTGTTACCCAGGCTGGAGTGCAGTGGCACGATCCAGGCTCACTGCAACCTCTGCCTCCTGGGTTGAAGTGATTCTCCTGCCTCAGCCTCCCAAGTAGCTGGGATTACAGTCGTGCTCCACCATGCCTGACTAATGTTTGTATTTTTAGTAGAGATGGGGTTTTGTCATGTTGGCCAGGCTGGTCTCTAACTCCTGACCTCAAATGATCCACCCACCTCGGCCTCCCAAAGTGCTGGAATTACAGGTGCGAGCCACTGAGCCCGGCCTAATTTGTTGATTTTTAGTAGAGATGGGGTTTTGCCATGTTGGCCAGGCTGGTCTCAAACTTCTGGCCTCAAGTGATTTGCCTCACTCAGCCTCTGAAAGTGCTGGGATTACAGGTGTGAGCCACCGCACTTGGCCTTAGGTTGTTTTTTTTTTTTTAAACTTGTGCTTTTGGTGTCATATTGCTTAGTGCAAGTCCACAAAGATTTGCTCCTATGTTTTCTTTGAAGAGTTTTAGCTCTTATATTTGGATCTCTTATCCATTTTGAGTTAATTTTTGTATATGGTGTGAGGTAGGTCCAACTTTATTCTTGCGCATGTGAACATCCAACACCATTTGTTGAAAAATGTTCTTTCCTTATGGAATTGTGTTAGTATCCTGGGCTTGGGATACTAAACAGGCAACACCTGGCCTCTTCTGAAACCTGCAGATGTATTTTTCACCCAAGAAAATTTGAATTTTGAGACCCATTCTCTTGGATAACTATGTTGATGAGAAGTGAGTATATATAGACCTCATTTCGTAAGCCCAGTATAACACCCGTGATCATGTTCTGTACATGACTACAAAAAGTGCAAACGGTAGCCAGTTCCCATTTTTCTACCACTTATCAACTTGGAGCTGCTACTTTTTGTTTCCAATAAGATTGTGTTTTACGTTGATGTCCCTCTGCAGGGTACCTCTGGGTTCCTTCATAATACCTGTATGTTTCTTCAGAATGATGTTGACATTTTCTGGAATGTCAATAGCCTGATTGCTGAGAATTGTTTTCATTCTTGCAGTGGATGTGGCAAAGCTTCAACTGTTACTGTTGAATTGTCTATTTCTCACTTCAGTTCTGTCAGTTTATGCTTAGTGTACTTTGGGGTTCCGTTAGGTGCTTTGGTTTTAATTTTATTGTGCATCAAAATTATGCACAATATGGATTAGATTCTCTGTATGTTAATACTGTTGATGACTAAATAAAACAATGTTTCTGTCTCATGTGCTGTGACCAATAAGTGGAGCTTGTTTTGATATGGATTAGATGCTTAAAAGATTTTCAGTTTCATCAATAGTAGATTGTCATGTCTGGATTACATAAAGAAGCACTTGTCTCTGAGAAGGCTCTTGACTTCATTGGGGCTGTGGTTCATTATAAGGGTCTGTGTGTATGTGAGTCACAGTGAACTGCAGCACTTTAAACATGGCTGAGATAAAGTACTTAAATCACTTTGTCAGTATATTAATTTTTATTGAGATTAAAGGGTAGAAGATAGTAATATTTCTTGACTTTCCCTAGAAGAATTTGTGTCAGTAACTATTAATAGCATCTACTTTTTATACAACCAAGTCTTAAACTATATCTGGCTTGACAGGAAGAAGCAAATAGATAAATATCTATTATATTTTATGGATATTCATTCCCTTCCTCCCTCCCTTCCTTCCTTCCTTCCTTCAGCTGTAGTACAGTGGCATGATCCCAGCTCACTGCAGCTTCAACCTCCGTGGCTCAAGTGATCTTCCTGCCTTAGCCCCCTAACGCCTCCAGTGGGTGGGACTATAAATGCATGCCACCATGCCTGGCTAATTTTTGTATTTTTTTGTAGAGTCAGGGTTTCACCATGTTGCCCAGGCTGGTCTTGAACTCCTGGACTCAAGCAGTCCACCTGCTTTGGCCTCCCAAGGTGCTGGAATTACAGGCGTGAGCCACCATGCCCGGTCAATGAATATTATTTCCTTTTAATCTTCATAGCAATATTTTGAGGTGGGAGATAGTGTTCTTACTTTACAAATGAGGGAATTGAAACCCAGAGCCCAGAGATTTATTAATTTGGCTAAGGTCACTGAAAAGTTCTCTTTTCATTCTGTCATTCTTTCAACAAATATGCCAGGCTTTGAAGATGCAGCCATGACCCAGTCAGACACTTGCCCTCATGAAGTGACTTGTCTGGTGGAGTCCTTTTACTGATACTTCTTTGAGCCATATTTCATATAATGACATATATTTGTAGAATTCTTTATGAAGTATTTCTGCATTGTCATCTAATTTTCTAATCCTTACCACAGTCCTATGACCCAGATGGGTTAGATATTATCCCCATTTGAAAGTAGGGAAACTGATACTTAGGGTTATTCAGGTCATATAGTTAGTAAATGGCTGAACCAGTACACAAACCCAGATCATTTGGCTCCAACAATCCTGCACTTTTTCCATTACACCACATTGTCTCGTGATTTCTCATGAAACTGTAAGGCTAGATCACCAAGAGTGATATCCTGGAAAGAAACCAGTCTAGCGGCACTTAGCAAAGGAGAGCTCAACCAGGGAATGGTATGTGGGAAAAGAATAAAATCCAGAGACCCAAAAGCTGTGTCTAGTGTGCTGAAATGGACTTATTGTTAAATAATGGTAGTGAGAAGAAATTTGGAGAGAGACTAAAACATGAAAAATATTAAATGGACATGGTCTTAACAGCATCTAGACAGGCTTAGGACACAGTAATTGGCAGGGGCTTTTTTTTTTTTCTAGAACAAGCACCTGAAACACAGTGAATTTAAGAGGAAGATACCCAAACATCAGACTCTGTGCAGAGCTACCTGCCACTGCAAATCAGGGTGTAATCTTAGAGGAGGGGATTGCTTTGTTTTACATTGATTACTTTGGCTACTTTCATGTATGTTCAGAGATGGCAATCTATCCTATAAAAACATTTGAGTGCTTTTTCTGTGTAAAAGCACTTTTAGGCATTGTGGGAGTGATACCAAGGTAAGTTTGACACCATCATTACCCATAAGAAGTGTGTAACCTAGTAAGGAGATTCTGCTGCATTCAAACATGCTTGTTCATCCGGAGTCTATTATGTATAAGACCGTGTACCAGGTATTTAGGAGACAAGAGTAGATAAGTTAGAAATTGCTCCTAAGCCTTTGGCTTATACTGTCAGTTGCTTAGAGGGTATTTGCTACCTCCTTCCCTTAAATCTAAGTAATTACAAACCTTTTAAAGTAGAGAGCAGGACTTGAAATTCTCTTGGCAAAACAGTAGTCAATTCTGCCATCCTTGTGATTTGGCCACAAACAAAACCTGACAGCCCATGGGTCAGAGCATAGGTGTCATACTAGAAAATATTTGCATCATATTTAACAGTCAAAGGATTAATGCACAGGATATGTAAAGACTCTGACAGATCATTAAGGAAAAATGCAAACATCATAACAGAAAAAAATGGACAAAGAATTTGAACAGGAGGTCATCGAATGGGAAATTCAAAAGGCTAAAAAAGTAAAAATATATGTTCAGTCTTACTTTTTATCAGGAAAATGATGATCCCATAATGAAACATTATTTCTGCCTCTCATTGGCAAAAATAATAGTAATAGCAAATTTAAGTAATAAGAAATCTTTGAGTACTTTCTAAACTGTAGGCAGAACAATCCACAGCAATCCTATGAGATAGGTACTATTATTATTATTACTGTTTTATTGATAAGGGACTTGAGGCACAAGAATAGATGTCCAAGGTCAGACATCTCATGCTTATTGAACCCCCATTTGAACTCAGGCAGTCAGTGTCTAGAGCCTGCACTCTTTTTTGTTGTTGCCTAGGCTGGACTCCAACTTCTGGGCTCAAACAGTCCTCCTGCGTCAGCCTCCTGAGTACCTGGGACTACCCAGCACAGTTTAAAGCCTGCACTCTTCATCACCAGAGTAGTGCCCTTGTCTGGGTTGGCTATTATGCTGTGTACCCAGCCTCTAGAACAGTGCCTAACAGAAAGAAAACATTTAAATACCTGTTGAGTGAATGGATACAGGTAATTAATTTTAAAACAAAAGCATATTAGGCACATCATTTTGGAGGGTAATTTGTCAGTATCAAAAAAAAAAAAAAAAAAAAAGGATACACATGGCCGGGTGTGGTGGCTCATGTCTGTAATCCCAGCATTTTGGGAGGCCAAGGCAGGTGGATCACCTGAGGTCAGGAGATCGAGACCAGCCTGGCCAACATGGTGAAACCCCGTCTCTACTAAAAATACAAAAATTAGCTGGGCATGGTTGCAGGCGCCTGTAATCCTAGCCACTCAGGAGGTTGAGGCAGGAGAATTGCTTGAACCGGGAAGAAGGAGGTTGCAGTGAGCCGAGATCGTGCCACTACACTCAAGTCTGGGCAACAAGAGCAAAACTCTGTCTCAAAAAAAAAAAAAAAAAAAAAAAAAGATACACACTAATGACTCAGTAATTGTGCATCTTAATGTCTTAATGTTTATCTTCAAACACACACGCACGCGCGCACACACACACATGTGTCCAAGGAGGCATATACAAGGGTGTTAATGGGAGCATTCTTGGTAATCGTTGAAAAATAGGGGAAAATGTAAATGCTTATTCGTGCTTTATATAACTGATAAATAACAGGAAAATTATGATATGGTTATATTTTAGAATTCTATGTGTACAATTAAAGTAGTTGTAATCCCAGCTTCTCGGGCGGCTGAGGCACGAGAATTTCTTGAACCTAGGAAGCGAAGGTTGCAGTGAGCTGAGATCGTGGCACTGCACTCCAGTCTGGGCGACAGAGCCAGACTCCATCTCAAAAACAAACAAAGTAGTTTATCTGGAAAGATATCTAGGATATATCATTGAGTGAGAAAAACAAGTTATAGAGCCTTCCCCACCAAAATAGATTCTAGATGATGAAAGAGCGAAGCAAACAAAAGCAACATGAAAATAGCATAGAAAACATAGGCTAATGTGTTCATAATATTGGTATAAAAAAGGCTTTTTCTAAGCATGATATGAAATACAGAAGCCAAAAATGAAGATTGGTGAATTTGACTACATAAAATGGAAGACCTTCATATAAAAAAAAACCTCACTCAAACATTAAACTGAGACTAAGATTCTAAACATGATACATATAAGGAATATTTGTAGGCAGTTTGCAGAAAGGCCAATAAACATATGAAAGATATAAATAGATGTTTAGCTTTTATTCATAATGAAAAATACAAATTAGAAAATAAAGTTCCATTTACTACCTGTGAGATTGGTAAAAGATTGATTTTATTCAATAATGATTAGAGCATGAAGAAAAAATTCTTGTATATACCCATTTGAGGAAATAAAAACAAACAGCATGTTTGGTGGAAAACTTGGCAGTATTTATTAAAATTTAAAATGTGCACTACCTTTCTCTCAAACTTTGCTTTTAGATATTTATTGCACGTTAAAGGGTAAAGATACAGGTACAAGGATATTCATTATATTGTTGATAAGCATAAAAACATGGAAGCAATCTAAAGGCTTATTGATAGGGATAAGAGCTAAATTGTAGTATTATATGTCTATTTAATGGAATGCTATTCAGCTATTTAAAAAGACAGCAAGTCTAGATGTACATGCATGACTTATTTAATACTGCACTGTGTAGTGCTGATTGATTATAATGCTATGCTAAATAGCATGTATGAATATATTATAATAATATATAACAATAGACATGTATGTATTTTTAAAATCCATGGTAGTAACCTGTTAACCTATACCTCTCTCCCTGCTCTGTAGTGCTTACTGCATCTGTAGTGGGAGTATTAATAAATTCAGATATACTATAGTGTTTATATGTTATTAAACTATATTTTTTCTTTTCCTTTTTCTCTTTCTCTTTTCTTTGCAAAACAGTGAGCACAGCTTCTAGCTCATGGAAGCATTTTTTACACTGAAAATATTTCTAAAGGGTGAAAAGAGGTAAAGGAGGAATGTTGTTTCCAAATATATACATACCTAGTGGTTAAGAATCTGAGACGTGAAACCAGATTGCCTAGATTCAAATTCTGGCTGTGTCACTGTGTGTGACCTTGTGCAAGTCACTTAAATTCTTTTTGCCTCCATTTCTTCATTATCCATTCAACAAATATTTGACTGCTTACTATATATCCCAGACACTGTTCTGGGTGCCAGCAATGCAACAAAGAGCATTAAGAGAAGATCTCTGCCCTCTTGTAGTATACATCTTGGAGGGCCTAATTATACCCACTATTTAGGATTGTAAAGAAAAGTAAAAGTTTAATACCTAAAAAGCACTTGGAAGAGTGTCTGGTACATAGTAAGTGGTCAATAAATATTATTATTCCCTCTCTTCTTTTCTGCAAAATAGACACAGAGTGTTTTTTATTTTTATTTTGGACACAGAGTATTAATGTATTAACTAGTTTATGAAAGTTTTTGATAAATGCAATAGCATTAAAAGATACATGAAGTCTGTTTCAGTATAGTCTTTTTTTTTTTTCCCTCCAAGGCAGAGTCTCACTCTGTCGCCCAGGCTGGAGTGCAGTGGCCCGATCTCAGCACACTGCAGCCTCCGCATCATGGGTTCAAGCAATTCTCCTGCCTCAGCCTCCCGAGTAGCCGGGACTATAGGTTCGCGGCAGCAAGTCCAGCTAATTTTTGTATTTTTTAGTAGAGATGGGGTTTCACCATGTTGGCCAGGCTGGTCTCGAACTCCTGACCTCGTGATCCGCCTACCTTGGCCTCCCAAAGTGCTGGGATTACAGGCGTGAGCCACCGTGCCCGGCCAGTATAGTCTTATATTTGTCCACAATCTGGGTGCTCCCATACATTGTTTGTCATTGAGCTCTAACTTGGTAGACTTGTACACTACTGGCCAGTAAATCTTACCATATGCCATGTTACAAAAGCTCTCAAACAGTGAGTGCTCTGTCACATATTTAGAATGTGCTAAATGTTGAAGTGAAAATTTTACAGTGGTTCTTTTAAGGAGTCTTGATGGAAATGATAGAGAAGTCAAGAGTGTGAAGATCAACACATTATAAAAATTGGTAAGTTGGCCGGGCTCACGCCTGTAATCCCAACACTTTGGGAGGCCAAGGTGGGTGGATCACTTGAGGCCAGGAGTTCAAGACCATCCTGGCCAACATGGTGAAACTCCGTCTCTACTAAAAATACAAAAAATTAGCCAGGTGTGGTGGTGGGTGCCTGTAGTCCCAGCTACTCGGGAGGCTGAGGCAGGAGAATCGCTTGAACCCAGGAGGCAGAGGTTGCAGTGAGCCAAGATCACACCATTGCACTCTAGCCTGGGCAGCAGAGCAAGACCCGGTCTCAGAAAAAATTGGTAAATTGGAGGTCATGATAAACATCAATAAAGCCTGGAAGGATTGATTATTAATTGTATAGCATTTAATAGGAGAAATTTTTTAGTGGTATTTATTAACTTGTAAATTTATAAAATCTCAGCATTTATTCACATGGATAAAGAATCAGAGGTGGGAAAGAACATGATACTCTTGAGGAATAAGATGTCAGTGTAGATGTAGAGAAGTAAGCAAAAAAGAAAGTGACAAAAGTATAAACTGGAGAGGTAGGCAAGTGTTAAAATTGTGCCAGACCTCATAAGGTCTTAGTAAGGAGTCTTGATATTATATTTAATTTTATTATCAAGATATATTTAATATCAAACAATTGAAGAATTTCAGGTAGAAGAATCACTTGAATAGATCTTTCAAAATATAAGTTTAACAGCTGAATGGAGAATGGATTGGAGGAGGAGGAGGCAGAAGTAGATATAAGAATATTATTGAAGATAGTATTTCAGTAATCCAGATGTGAGATAATAGTAGCTTGGATGAAGGTAGTAGTTGTAGACAGAAAAGTAAATTGGTTTTCATTAAATGAGAACATGATTTAATGTTGATTGTGAGCATTATGGGGAGAGGGAGTGATAGAGAATTACTATAGCGTGAACAACTGGGTAGATGATATAGAGAATAGAGAAGAAAACATTGATTAGTATGAAAATAGATGTATGTGTTGAGATGTGTGTGGAGCATGGAGACATTGAGTAGGCACTTAGATGTATAGCTTTAGAACCCAGAAAAGAGGTCACTCTTTTAAATTGGAATTTCTTAACAGATGGTGTTTGAAGCAATCATAGTAGATACAATTCTCTTGGAAAACAGTATAAATTGAGAAAAGAAGAGGACTGAGTACAGAACTCTGAGGAATTTCAACATTTAAGATTGGGTAGAAGAGGAGGAGTCAGGGATGAAGATGAGAGATAGATGTCAAAAAAAAATAGAAGAAAGTAAGAATTTGTAGTATCACACAAGTCATGGAAGAAGAGTTTCATAAAGGAGGAGGATGTGATCTAATAATTGAATGTTGCTAAAATGTCAGATGAAGTTAGGACCAAAAAGTGTCCATTAGTTTTAACAATATGGAAGTTATCAGTGACTTGAAACAAGAATGGTGGGGAAGCCAGAGAAGAGTGAGAGCATAAGTAGAAGGTGGAGAGGAGGATGCACAGAAAGTAGACAACTCTCTTGAGAAAATATTCCTCTTGAATGTGAAGGGTTCACTGTTTGAAATTTGAGGTGTAGTGGAACAACCAGATGGAGAACTATTTCATATCAGATAGGTGAAGCTGTGGCCTCAGAATTTGAGTGAGAGGTGATGTTTATAGAAATCTGAGTCATTCGAATGGAGGTGGTAAAGACTTTGGAAGAAAAGGGAGCCAAACTGGAAGAGCACCTATAGGCAGAGATTTTCTTTGGGTTGTCATTAAATAATATTGTAGTGTTTTTTTTTGTTTGTTTTTTTTTTTTTTTGAGATGGAGTCTCACTCTGTCACCCAAACTGGAGTTCAGTGATGCTATCTCGGCTCACTACAACCTCTGCCTCCCGGGTTCAAGCGATTCTCCTGCCTCAGCCTCCACAGTAGCTAGGATTACAGGCACCCAACCACCACGCTCAGAAAATTTTTGTATTTTTAGTAGATGTGGGGTTTCGCTGGTCTCGAACTCCTGAGGTCAGGTGATCCACCTGCCTCGACCTCCCTTACAGGCATGGGCTACTGTGCCCAGCCTGTAGTGTTCTTTAATATAAGTAATTTGAGCATGGATTTGTTTCATCTAACTGTTGTCCTGAGCTTTGACTGAGACAATTCAGGTTATGTTCTTTTCAAATTTGATGTGGTTAAAAGTTAGAAACAATGCCCTAAATGCTCGCAAAGAGTTGTCAAGATAGGAGCATACATAGGATCTAATTTTACTGCAAGTGTTAGGCTATATGATTTTGTGAACCTACCAATTTGGCTAGTTTTCCAATTGGTACTTTGTAAGTGAAATATATCACTTGCATTGACTGGATCAGTAGTGATTCATAACGCTGCTTTATATATACACTCTGTCTTTTTTAGTAGACTTTGTTTTTTAGAGCAACTTCAAGTTCACAGCAAAATTGAGAGGAAAATAGAGATTTCCTGTGTACCTCCTGCCCTCACCCACGTATAGCCTCCGCCATTATCAATATCCTCCACAATTGTTTCAGTTTAAGAACCTACATGGATACATCATTATCACCCAAAGATTATTATTTACATTGGGGTTTACTCAATGGTGTTGTATATTTTATGGGTTTGGACATATGTTTAATGTTGTCATTTATCATAATGATATAATACAGAGTGGTTTTAACACCTTAAAAATCTTTTTGCTCTGCCGATTCATTCCTCTCCCCTAGTCTTTGACAATCACGGATCTTTTTTTTTTTTGAGATGGAATCTTGCTCTGTCACTCAGGCTGGAGTGCTGTGGCGCGATCTCGACTCACTGCAAGCTCCGCCTCCCGGGTTCATGCCATTCTTCTGCCTCAGCCTCCCGAGTAGCTGGGACTATAGGCGCTGCCACTACGCCCGGCTAATTTTTTGTATTTTTTTTAGTAGAGACGGAGTTTCACCGTGTTAGGATGGTTTTGATCTCCTGACCTCGTGATCCACCCGCCTCGGCTTCCCGAAGTGCTGGGATTACAGGAGTGAGCCACCGTACCTGGCCAATCACGGATCTTTTTACTATTTCTGTAGTTTCGACTTTTCCAGAACGTCACATACTTGGAATCATACAGTACGTAGCCTTTTGAGATTGGCTTCTTTCACTTAGAAATGTGCCTTTAAGGTTCTTCCATATCTTTTTGTGGCTTAATAGCTCACTTCTTTCTAGTGCTGAATCTATTGTATGGATGTACCACAGCTTTTATTTACCTACCATTCACCTACTGAAGGACATCTTAGTTGCTTCTAAGTTTGGCAATTATGAATAAAGCTGCTATAAACATCTATGTGCAGGTTTTTGTGTGGACATGTTTTCAGCTCCTTTGTGTAAATACTGAGGAGCACGATTGCTGGATCATATTTTAAGAGTATATTTAGTTTTGTAAGAAACAGCCAAACTGTCTTCCAAAGTGGCTGTACCATTTTGCATCCTCACAACAATGAATGAGAGTCCCTGTTGCACCCACATCCTCTCTAGCATTTGGTGGTGTCAGTGTTTCTGATTTTGGCCATTCTAATAGGTGTGTGGTGGAATCTCATAGTTATTTTAATTTGTGTTTTCCTTATAACAAATAATGTGGAGTATCTTATCATAATGCCTGTTTGCCATCTGTGTACCTTCTTTGGTGAAGTGTCTGTACAGGTCTTTGGCCTGTTTTTTGATCCAGTTTTTTTTTTTTTATTATTGTTTTAAAAGTTCTTTGTACATTTTGGATAATAGACCTTTATCAGATAAATCTTTTTCAAGTATGTTCTCCCAGTCTGTGGCTTGTCTTTTCATCCTCTTAACAGTGTCATTTGCAGAGCAGAATTTTTATTTTTTATTTTTTATTTTTTTTAGACAGGCTCTCACTCTGTCACCCAGGCTGGAGTGCAGTGGTGCAATCACAGCTCACTGCAGCCTTGACCTCCCAGGCTCAAACCATTCTTCCACCTCAGTCTCCTGAGTAGCTGGGACTATAGGCACATACTACCATGCCTGGCTAATTTTTATATTTTTTTTGTAGAGACAGGGTTTTGTCATGTTGCCCATGCTGGTGTTGAACTCCTGAGCTCAAGCGATCCACCCACTTTGGCCTCCCAAAGTGTTGGGATTACAGATGTAAGCCACTGTGCCTGGCCACAGAGCAGAAATTTTTAATTTTAGTGAAGGTGCACCTTATCAATTCTTGTTTTCATAGATCATTCCTTTGGTATTGTGTCTAAAAAGTCATTGCCAAATCAAAGGTCATCTAGATTTTCTACTGTTATCTTCTAGCAGTTTAATAGTTTTGTGTTTTATATTTAGTTTTCTGATTCATTTTGAGTTAACTCCTGTGAAAGGTATAGGGGTCTGTGTCTAGATTTATCTTTTTTTATATGTTGGATGTCTAGTTCCAGTACCATTTGTAAAAATACTATCTCTGATCCATTGTATTGCTTTTGCTTTTTTGTCAAAGATCAGCTGACTATATTTGTGTGTGTCTTTTTCTGGCCTCTCTATTCTGTTTTATAGATTTATTTGTCTATCACCAATTTGACACTGTCTTGATTACAGTATATCTTGAAGTAGGGTAGTGTTAGGCTTCTAACTTTGTTCTTCTCTGTCAATAATGTGTTGGTTATTCTGGGTCTTTCTCCTCCATATAAATTTTAGGATCAATTTGTCAATGTTTATAAAATAACTTTCTGGGATTTTGACTGGGATTGTGTTGAATCTGTAGATCAAGTCAGGAAGAAATGACATCTTGACAATATTAAGTCTTTCTGTTCGTGAACATGGAATATCTTTTCATTTATTTGGTTCTTTTATAGTGTTTATCAGAGTTCTGTTGTTTTTTCATATAGATCTTGAACATATTGTGTTATATTTATATAGAAGTATTTTGTTTATTTTGGTGCTAATGTAAATTGTGTTTTTAATTTTAACTTCAACTTATTCATCAGTGGTATACAGGAAAGTAATTGGCTTTTATATATTAACCTTGTATCCTGTAACCCTGCTATAGTCACTTATTCCTGGAGGGTTTTTGGTAATTTTTTTTTTTTTTTTTTTTTGAGACAGAGTCTTGCTCTGTCTCCAGGCTGGAGTGCAGTGGCGCAATCTCGGCTCACTGCAAGCTCTGCCCCCTGGGTTCATGCCATTCTCCTGCCTCAGCCTCCCAAGTAGCTGGGATTGCAGGTGTGTGCCACCATGCCCAGCTAATTTTGTTGTATTTTTAGTAGAGACAGGGTTTCACTCTGTTGGCCAGGCTGGTCTTGAACTCCTGGCCTCAAGTGATCCACCTGCCTCAGCCTCCCAAAGTGCTAGAATTACAGGCATGAGCCACTGTGCCTGGCCCAGGTCTTATTTATTGATGCATTCCGACAGTCTGTGTCTTTTCATTGGTGCATTTAGACCATTGACCTTCAAAGCAATTTTTAAAAAAAAAATTATTTTATGTATTTATTTATTTATTTTTTTGAGATGAAGTCTTACTCTGTCACCCAGGCTGGAGTGCAGTGGCACGATCTTGGCTCACTGCAACCTCCGCCTCCCAGGTTCAAGCAATTCTCATGCCTCAGCCTCCTGAGTAGCTGGAATTACAGGCATGCACCACCATGCCTGGCTAATTTTTGTATTTTTAGTAGAGACAGGGTTTCGCCACATGGGCCAGGTTGGTCTCGAACTCCTGACCTTAGGTGATCCCCCCATCTTGGCCTCCCAAAGTGCTGGGATTACAGGCGTGAGCCACCGCACACAGCCCAAAGTGATTATTGATATAATCTCCTTCACTTTTGAAGGACAATTTTATAGGGGTACAGATTTTTAGGTTGGTCTTTTTTTCCTCTTTCTTCCTGCTTATATGGTTTCTTCACTCCTCTTTCTCCTTGTTTAGGTTTCTTAGGATAAATTAGTTGTAATTCTTTTCTTTACTCCTCCGTAGGTATAGTGTTTTTTTGTTTTGTTTTGTTTTTTTAAGACAGTGTCTCACTCTTTTGCCCAGACTGGAGTGCAGTGGCCTGATCTCGGTTAACCTCAACCTCCACCTCCCAGGCTCAAATGATTCTCCTGCATTAGGCTCCCAAGTAGCTGGGATTACAGGCTTGCGCCACTACCGTCCGGCTAATTTTTGTATTTTTAGTAGAGACGGGGTTTCACTATGTTGGCCAGTCTGGTCTTGAACTCCTGGCCTCAAGTGATCCACCTGCCTCAGCCTCCCAAAGTGCTAGAATTACAGGCATGAGCCACTGTGCCTGGCCCAGGTCTTATTTATTGATGCATTCCGACAGTCTGTGTCTTTTCATTGGTGCATTTAGACCATTGACCTTCAAAGCAATTTTTTTAAAAAAAATTATTTTATGTATTCATTTATTTATTTTTTTGAGATGAAGTCTTACTCTGTCACCCAGGCTGGAGTGCAGTGGCACGATCTTGGCTCACTGCAACCTCCGCCTCCCAGGTTCAAGCAATTCTCATGCCTCAGCCTCCTGAGTAGCTGGAATTACAGGCATGCACCACCATGCCTGGCTAATTTTTGTATTTTTAGTAGAGACAGGGTTTCGCCACATGGGCCAGGTTGGTCTCGAACTCCTGACCTTAGGTGATCCCCCCATCTTGGCCTCCCAAAGTGCTGGGATTACAGGCGTGAGCCACCGCGCACAGCCCAAAGTGATTATTAATATAATCTCCTTCACTTTTGAAGGACAATTTTATAGGGGTACAGATTTTTAGGTTGGTCTTTTTTTTCTCTTTCTTCTTGCTTATATGGTTTCTTCACTCCTCTTTCTCCTTGTTTAGGTTTCTTAGGATAAATTAGTTGTAATTCTTTTCTTTACTCCTCCGTAGGTATAGTGTTTTTTTGTTTTGTTTTGTTTTTTTAAGACAGTGTCTCACTCTTTTGCCCAGACTGGAGTGCAGTGGCCTGATCTCGGTTAACCTCAACCTCCACCTCCCAGGCTCAAGTGATACTCCTGCATTAGGCTCCCAAGTAGCTGGGATTACAGGCTTGCGCCACTACCGTCCGGCTAATTTTTGTATTTTTAGTAGAGACGGGGTTTCACTATGTTGGCCAGTCTGGTCTTGAACTCCTGACCTCAAATGATCCACCTGCCTCGGCCTCCCAAAGTGGTGGGGTTACAGACCCGTCTTTTTTTTTTTTTTTTTTTTTTTAAGAGATTAAAAAAATTTTTTTTTATTTTCTATAGTTTGAATATAACTATGTATAGGTTTTTTTTGGCATTTTTCATGCTTGGTGTTCTCTGAACTTTCTGTATCTGGGAATTGGTACGTGGCATTAATTTGGGGGAAATTTTCAGTCATTTTAGTTACAAGTATTTTTTTCTCTTTTCCTTCTGGTATTCTTATTACACGTATGTTACACCCTTTGTAGTTGTTCCACAGTTCTTGAGTATTTTGTTCTATTATTATTATTATTATTATTTCACTTTGCTTTTCAGGTTTGGAGGTTTCTGTTGAGATATCCTCAAACTAGAGATTCTTTCCTCAGTCATGTCCTGTCTCCTAAATAAGCCTATCAAAGGCATTCTTCATTTCTGTTATCGTGTTTTTGATCTCTAGCATTTCTTTTTGGTTCTTTCTTAGAATTTTTCTATACTTTCATTGCCCATCTGTTCTTGCACGCTGTCTACCCGTTATAGCCCTTAGCATATTAATTATAGTTGTTTTAAATTCCTGGTCTGATAATTCTAGCATCTCTGCTATATCTGAATCTAGTTCTGATGTTTGCTCTTTCTCCTCAAACTTTTTTTTTTTTTTAACCTTATGCCTTGTAATCTTTTCTTGATAGCTGGACATGATATATTGAGTAAGAGGAACTGCTGAAAATAGGCCTTTAGTAATGTGATAAGCTGTTGGGGGAAGGGGAGCATTCTATAGTTCTACGATTAAGTCTCAGTCTTTTAGCAAGCCTCTGCCCCTGGACTGTGAACTTCACAAGTGCTTCTCAGTTTTCTCCCCTGTTTAGAGGGGACAGGATAGCAAGAATGGGCTGGAGCTGGGTGTTTCCTTTCCCCAGGTCAGTTAGGCTCTGATATAACCCCAGCAGGTTAGGCTTTCGTCAAATAGTTTCTGCTGAGGGCAGACCGTATTAAGAATAGAATGCTCTTAGGCTGGGGTGGCACATGCCTGCTAATCCCAGCACTTTGGGAGGCTGAGGTGGGCAGACCACTTGAGGTCAGGAGTTCAAGACCAGCCTGGCCAAAATGGTGAAACCCCGTCTCTGCTAAAAATACAAAAATTAGCTGGGCATGGTTGCGTGTGCCTGTAATCCCAGCTACTCAAGAGGCTGAGGTGGGAGGATCACTTGAACCCAGGAGGTGAAGGTTGCAGTGAGCTGAGATCTCGCCACTGCACTCCAGCCTGGACAACAGAGCGAGACCCTGTCTCAAAAAAAAAAGAAAAGAAAAAAGAGTAGAATGCTCTGGCTTATTTCAAAATGGTTCCCTTTCCCCTTTCCCTGCCAGAAGAATGAGGGGATTTCCCCCTTGATGCTGTGAGATCTAGGTCAAGCTTCCCACGAAAGTGTGGGAGTCCCCTTGAAGTTTTTAACTCGCAGAGTTGTCCACACTAAGCCTCTAGCAATTTGTCAATTATAATTCAAGCTTTTCTGCCCGACATCTGGTTCCCACAGAGGTTCCTGCTTGTGGGTTTCTGCTTAGGTAATTTGTGACTTTTTTTGTATTCACCTGTCTGTCCCTTCGAATTTGGGTCAGGGTTTGTGCTGTGAATTTTTTTTTTTTTTTTTTTTTTTTGAAGACAGGACCTCATTCTGTCGCCCAGGCTGGAGTGCGGTGGCATGATCTGGGTTCACTGCAGCCTCGCCCTCCTGGGCTCAAGCAATCTTCCCACCTCAGTTCCCCAAGTAGCTGCGACTACAGCCGTGCACCACCACACCTGGCCTATTTTTGTATTTTTTGTAGCGATAGGGTTTTGCAAAGTGGCCCAAGCTGATCTTGAACTTCTGAGCTTAAGCTGTCTGACCACCTCAGCTTCCCAGGGTGTTGGGACTACAGGGTGAAGCCACCAAACCCAGCTTTTTGTTTTTTTTTAAGAGATGGGGTTTCACTCTGTTGCCGAGTCTGGAGTGCAGTGGTAACTCACTATAACCTTGAACTCTGGGCTCAAGCGATCCTTCTGTCTCAGTCTCCTGAGTAGCTAGGTCTACAAGTGTGCACCACCATGCCTGGCTAATTAAATTTTTTTTTTTTTTTTAAATAGAGACTGGGTCTCGCTATGTTGCCCAGACTAGCCTCAAACTCCTGGCCTCAAGCAGCCTTCCTGCCTTGGCCTCCCAGAGCACTGGGTTACAGGTGTGAACCACCATGCCTGGCCACCTCACTTCTTTTATGCATCTAAGAAGAGTTGTTGATATTTCAGTTTTTTTACTTTGTTGTTCGGATAGAATAGTGACTTCCAAGCTACTTAAATGCTGCACTAGAAACTGGAAGTCTATGTATACTCTTGTTGTTACTCTTGGTTCACACAATTTGTGGTATACAAATTATATCTCCCTGTTAGATTGCCACCTAGAATGATCCGAAATATAAGACCCATCCCTCTTTCCATGAATTTATCCCTTGTTTATTATCTACTTGTAGAACATAGAATATCTCAGTTTAGGGTCTGATCTTTGAAGGTATAGGTGCCCAATTAAAGTTGAAACTGATTTTGATGCCATTTGCCTCAATTTATATCATACTATTGGGATATATTTGTTAAGATTCTTGTTGCAGGTTAAGGCAATCCACTGGAGCTAAGTTAGAAAAAAAAATAACAGTTATAAGGATATGACAATATCTCACAGAATCCAAAGGCAGCTATTGTAGCTGTATCTTTCAGGCATAGCATAGAAGGGTCTGTAATTCATTCAACTTAGATCAGGAGCTCACACCAGGCTAATAAACTGGTTAGGAGCTCACACCAGGCTAATAAACTGGTTAGGTGGATAGGTTTTCCCTGAATATGGCGTTTTATCTTGTGATGAAAGTATATGTGTGTATGGCGTGGTGGTAGACAGTTCTATAATTCTGTTGGCAAAGATAATCCAAGAGATGTCTAACATCTCAAAATTGGAGATACAGACTTTGGCTAATATGGTATTAATTAATATTTCAGTCATGGATAAACAATTTATATACCACTTTAGTTTCTCCAGAGAAACAGAACCAGAAGGAGATAGAGGTTTCTGTTTTGTTGTTGTTGTTGTTTTGTTTTGTTTTGTTTTTTGAGACAGTCTCGTGGTGTCACCCAGGCTGGAGTGCAGTGGCATGATCTCGGCTCGGCTCACTGCAACCTCCACCTCCCAGGTTCAAGCATTTTCATGCCTCAGCCTCCTGAGTAGCTGGGACTACAGGTGCCTGCCACCACACCTGGCTAATTTTTGTATTTTTAGCAGAGACGGGGTTTCGCCATGTTGGCCAGGCTCTTCTCGAACTCCTGACCTCAGGTGATCTGCCCACCTCGGCCTCCCAAAGTGATGGGATTACAGGCACAAACCACTGTGCGCGGCCCGGAGATAGAGGTTTCTAGCTTGCAGACAGTAAATCATGAGATATGTCAGCCTCCATAATTTTGTGAGTCAGTTTCATTTGATAAGTCTCATTATGTGTGTACACACACAGAGAGAATTATATATATGTATGTAGGCATGTATTTATATCATGGGGAGGGCAATCCGGTGTACTCAGTTCCATTCAAATGCTTATCTCTTCTGGAAACATTCTCCCAGACACACCCAGAAATAATATTTAATCAAATGTTTAGGCATTCCTTGTCCCAGTCAAGTTGACATGTAAAATTAACCATCACAGGGATGTTGTATATCTCAGTAGTTTCTGTCCCTATGACATGTATATACAAATTTATGTCATTTTGAGTCTGATTACTCCAGACGTGAGAATTAAGCATGCTCCTTCTTTTAGTCCCAATCGCAGATCAGTTGCTGTTCTAGCGATTTCAATGCCTATGTATATTTGATACGTCTGTTATCACATTTTCCAATATTTGTTAAACTACTCTGCTTTTTGTTTGGTGTGAACTAGGTGAAAACACTCACCTTGTTCTTTATAGCTCTTGACTGGGAATTTGATGTTTGTGAAAGATGCCAGATGGATATGCTGGAAATTGAAGCCCTGTGTGAATGTGGGGAAGCAACAATGTCAGCTTCCCAGATCCTATTCTCTTAATGTATTTTGGTCTTGATCTGCAGGAATAAAGCTCTTTTCAGAGCTTATTTCATTTCTTTTTTCTGCCACTGTAAGGGTGTTCATATTCAAAGGGTGTCTTTTTAGGATCAAATTTACTTAGCCTCTTCAGAAAGTTGAACATCAGGTTACTTTTTCGTTCCTAGTTTTCTGTTTCATTGCTCAGACTTGAGTTGATCACTTAAGACCAGTTGCCCTAATGGATTATTAATTGTATAAACAAACTAGTCCACTGATTGGTTTCATGGTTCAAATTGCATCTTTGCCTTTCTGTTCTAATTCTTTCACACAAATTGCTTTTTTGATGATGAATAATAATAGCTATCATTTATTGAGCAGTTACATATCAGGTCTGTGCAAGGCACTTTATATAAATACCTTCATCATCATTAAAAATATCCCGCAAAGTATAGTTTTCATATAAAGTGTAAAGAAACTGAGATTCAGAGAGGTTATCTTGCTCAAAGTAGCAACAGCTATTAAACAATATAGCATGGGCCGGGTATGGTGGCCCATGCCTGTAATCCCAGCACTTTGGGAGGCCAAGGCAGGAGGATTGCTTGATCCCAGGAGTTCCAGACAAGCCTGGGCAACACAGCAGAAACCTGTCTCTATTAAAATATAATAATAATAAAATAAATAATAGAACATGAATTCAAGCCTGGATCAGCCAGATTTTTGTACCAGTGTTGCTTCTACCAAACTCCAGTGACTCTTCATAAAAGATGTTCATTTGGATTAAATATCAAGCCAGGTATGTTCCATATTGCTAATGGTTGATTTAAAATTCCAGACTCAGTTTTGCCAGATATTCCATTGCTGTAGTCACACTCTTGAATCATACTTTTTCTTTCTTTAAAGGTAAAATATCGAACTAATAGGAACTTTCTGATAAGTTGTGATTGTGAATAGACAGCACAAAACCTTGAGAAAACATGGTTTAAGTCTGAATTGTTCTTCTTTTTTTTTTTTTTTTGAGACGGAGTTTTGCTCTTGTTGCCCAGGCTGGAGTGCAATGGCGTGATCTTGGCCTGGCGCGATCTCAGCCCGGCGCAATCTTGGCCCACCGCAACCTCTGCCTCCCGAGTTCAGGTGATTCTCCTGCCTTAGCCTCCTGAGTAGCTGGGATTACAGGCATGCACCACCATGCCTGACTAATTTTGTATTTTTAGTAGAGACGGGGTTTCTCCATGTCAGTCAGGCTGGTCTTGAACTCCTGACCTCAGGTGATCCACCCGCCTTGGCCTCCCAAATTGTTGGGATTACAGGCATGAACTACCATGCCCGGCCTTGAATTGTTCTTTAGTATGTGTTGGCATTAATAAACTTTGAAATAGTAAGTACATTGAAGTTTTAGTGGTCCCAGTACAACTCTTGGGATCCTTTGTATGGGACTATTTCCCAGGTGGAAGTTCTTCGAAAGTAAATCCTTTAGTTATTTTAATTTGATTTACAAGTAGTGAGCACATGCTGTGTATTATCCATGGTATCATACACTAGGGATACAATGACAAAAGAAGCAATCTCTATCCTGAGAAACCTTAATAGTCTGGAAGGGAGAGACAGTTTTAGAAAAATCATGGATCAGTTCATAAGTGCTCTGATAGGGGTAAAAGGTACACAAGATCGAAGGGGCACCTATCTCAGACCTAGATCAGAAGGACTTAATGGAAGAAGTGATGTCTTGGATAGAATGAGGAGGACAAGTAAGAGTCAACTGACAATGGCAGGGGCAAAGTTTGGAGAGGGTTCAAGGCTTAAAAAATAATATGGATGAAGACTTTTTTTTTAACTGGTTTTTAAGATAGAATTCATATATCATAAAATTCACTTTTAAAGCACACATTCAGTGGTTTTCAGTATATTCACAGAGTTGTGTAACCATCACCATTTATAATTCCAGAACATTTTCATCACCCCAAAAACTCCCTACCCATTAGTAGTCACACGCCATTTCCTCCTCTCCCCAGCCCCTGGCAACACTAATACACTTTCTGTCTCTGTGGACGTGCCTATTCTGGACATTTCATATTAATAGAGCCACATAATATGTGGTTGTTTATGACTGGCTTCTTTCACTTAGCATAATGTTTTCAAGGTCCATTCATGTTGTAGCATGTATTGGTATGAAGGTGTGTTTTGGAAAATAGGCAAGATTGAGAATTGAGGGTTTGTGTTGATCAAGATGACTACTGCATAGAGTAAGAATTTGAGAATAGAGAATAAGATGTCATACTAGAGAAGTAAGCAGAAACCAAATCAAACAGAACAGAACATTGTCAGCTATGTTATGGAAGTATGGACTTTATCCTAAGGGCAATAGGATGACATTGAATGATGTTAAGTATGGAAATGATACAATCAGATTTGGGTTTTGTATTTGTGTGGAGAATAGGCTAGATGGGTACAAAACAGGGGGCAGGGAGACTAGGATTCTTGCAAAAATCTAGGCAACAGAAAGATGGAGGCATTATGGGATATGGCAGTGGGAATGGAGAGAAGTGGATGGATTTGAAAGATTTAAGAGGTAAGATTGATAAGACTTGATGTTCGATTGAATGTAGAGTTGGGAGGAGAGGATAGTATCTAGAATTGTACTTAAGTTTCTGAGTTTATGAGACAAGTGGATGATAATGCACTTACTCATTAAGGAGCTGGCTGCTAGGTAAGTTCCTGCGGTGCCAATATATAAGTAGTAAAATGGCACTGGAACATTAATGAGTCAGAAAAAATGCATTTACTGGAACCCTACTTAGTAGCAGTGTATGTGGGTTGGAGGAAAACTTTGATAAGCTACTGTAGATGGAGTAAAACCCCTCTCTTACCTCGCTTTTTGCCTGAGTAACATTAGTTGTTTCCTAAACTGTACTCTAAGAGACCCAAAGCTTGTTTTATTGAGTGGCTACCATCAGTGGGTCATCTTTTTTCCCTGTCCCTATTAAGGTTTTTATTCTTCTCTTTAAAATGTTTATATGAGATTGGTTTGGAGACTATCAGATTACTAACCTGCTGTTCCATTTGAATTACACCAAAATGTAGTGGTTTAAAATAACAATTTAATTATCTCTCATGGTTCTGGGGATTGATTGGGCTTACTTAATTAGGTGGTTCTCTCTCTCTCTATTTTTTTGAGACATAGTCTCACTGTGTTGCCCAGGCTGGAGTGCAGTGGTGCAATCTTGGCTCACTGCAACCTCCACCTCCTGGGTTCAGGAGATTCTCATGCCTCAGCCTCCCGAGTAGCTGGGACTACAGGTGCCTGCCACCACAGCTGGCTAATTTTTGTATTTTTAGTAGAGACGGGGTTTCGCCATGTTGGCCAGGTTCTTCTCGAACTTCTGATCTCAGGTAATCTGCCCACCTTGGCCTCCCAAAGTGCTGGGATTACAGGTGTGAGCCACCGCCCCTGGCCAGGTATTTCTCTCTTAGGGTTTTCATGCAGTTGTAGTCAGACAGTGGCTGGGCTAGAGTCATCTTGAGGCTTGCTCATTCACATGTGTAGAGATTCATGGGGCAGATCACCGAAATGTGGGCTTTCCGTGTGGTTTCTCTGGCATGGTTACTGGGTTCCAAGAGTGAGTGTCCCAAAAGGAGTGGTCAGAAACTGTATTACCTTTCATGACCTGGTCTTGGAAGTTACATAGTTTCCCCTTTGTTATACTCCATTAGATGAGGTAGTTGTGAATGTCTGCCCAGGTTTAGAGGAAGGAGACATAGATTTCACCACTCAGTTGAAATCACCCATCCCACACTATCTTCTTAATGTGACTGTGACACCTGAGTCACAGGTGCTACGTCACAATCACATTAAAAAATCATGTGGGATGGGAGATATAGTAGCAGCCATTTAAAAAAATACAATCTGCCATCCCTACCTGAGAACCCTGCTCAGACTAAGATTGGGAACAGAAAGAGGGGACTTGGAAGATTGAATGTGATTTTGTACCTGTTGAGTTTGAACACTTTGTCAGACTTTCTGGCAGAAATGTTAAGAAGTTTCTTTACTGAGCCGGGTACAGTGGTGTGTACCTGCAGTCGTAGCTACTCCCAGCCTCAGGAGGCTGAGGCCGGAGGAACACTTGAGCCCAGGAGTTTGAGTCTAGCCTTGTCAACACTGCGAGACCCCATCTCTAAGAAATAAAATAAAATTTAAGAGTTTGATTACTGGTCAGATACTGAATTTGTTTACAGAGAATAGTATTAATCACAGCCAAGATAGGAAACATCTTTAACTGATAATATTTTCAAACATATCATCATTTTATTTTCTTTTTTAAAATCTATGGCCAGGATTTTGGAAATTTTCACCCTCACAAATAATTCTTCTGTTATAAACATGTTCATATCAGAGATTCCTATGAATTTCTTGCATTTTATATTTTAAGCATCATCTTTATACCTGTGACCTTTCCTTATAAGTTTATGTAAGAACTAAAATCTTTGTTTCTTAATTTTAAATGATGGTTCTTTAACGTTCCTTCATATTACAGTTAAAATTTTAGTCTTCTGTTATACATCCCAGGGAGATAATCTTTTTAGATCCTTATCTTTCCCATTCCCTTTGCTTTTCAGTTTTTATATTTCAAAGTAAAACATTTATTTTTATTTATTTATTTTTTTGAGACAAGGTCTGACTCTGTTGCCCAGGCTGGAGTGCAGTGTCATGATCACAGCTCACTGCAACCTCCACCTCCCAGGCTCAAGTTGTCCTCCTGCCTCAGTCTCCCAAATAGCTGGGACTACAGGCACATGCCACTATGCCTGGCTAATTTTTGTATTTTTAGTAGAGATGGGGCCTTGCCATGCTGGCCAGGCTGGTTTTGAACTCTCCTGGCCTCAAGTGAGCCACCCACCTTGGCCTCCCAAAGTGCTGGGATTAAGGTGTGAGCCACTGCACCTGGCCAGATTTATGATTTTAGAAAGCTATTTCAGTTAAGATTATGAAGGATATATTTTATAGAGAAATGAAGGCAATAACACTAGTTTGGTAACTATATGAACCACTCTAGGCGAGAACTGATGAGGGCCTAAGCTAAGGCAGTTGTAGAAATGGGATGAGGGTGATGAAATTAGGAACTTCTTTGGAATCTTTGCCATGGTAGTGTGTTATATGCTATACTTAATTAAATAATTAAATCATTCCACATATTTTGAATACTACTATGTGAAAAGAATTGTGCTGGGGCCTTGGAATAAAAGTATGAATAAAAAGGGTTTCCTGTCTTGGGTGAACTTATGGTTTAGTGTAGTCGTTTTGTAAAGAGAGAAATTACATGTAATGTGAAATATAAACATTATGGGAACACAGAGAACTATGTGATTAATTATTGTAATTATTAATTTCACATTGGGAGATGACATTTGAGTGGAATATTAGAGGAGTTCTGTGAAATTCTTTGTTTTCCTCTCATGTATCTTGAACTGTATTGAAGACATTTGTACTGTTTTATGTTGTATACCTATCCATCTATCCATTTACTAAACTTCTTTTGTTCCTTCCAAAAAATGATTCTGTAATGTCAAAAGGCAATGAATAAGTCATTACTGTAATGCTCATTCTGGGTAAAAAGTACTGGCGTTATTTGTCTCTTTATCTGAGAAGCATATTCTCCATGGGAGGTGATGGAATTCTTCTTTTCACTACATATTGCTTGTTGGTTTCTCTCTGTGTCTCCCTTTCCCTTCCTTTATTTTTCTGAACTATTTCTTTATTTATTAGGGCATTAGCAACTTTAAGTCTACTTTTAAGAATGAATGCAATAATTTTATTTTATTGTATGTCACTTCTCAAAGGTAAGAATGGAGACTTACAATTAAACAGGATGAGGCCAGGTGCGGTGGCTCACGTCTGTAATCCTAGCACTTTGGGAGGCTGAGGTGGGCGGATTGCCTGAGCTCAGGAGTTTGAGACCAGCCTGGGCAACATAGTGAAACCCTGTCTCTACTAAAATACAAAAAAATTAGCCGGGCCTGGTGGCGTGCATCTGTAGTCCCAGCTACTCAGGAGTCTGAGGCAGGAGAATTGCTTGAACCCGGGAGGTGGAGGTTGCAGTGAGCCGAGATCGTGTCACTGCACTCCAGCCTGGCGACAGAGCAAGACTGTGTCTCAAAAAAAAAAGAGGATTTATTGACCCTTCCTCACACACACCATTTATTTTCTTTCTTTCTTGAAACCCTCATAAAATGGTAAGAAGTAAGAACAGAAGAGGAGATAACAGTGGATGAAAGGTTTCAGTAAATGGAAAGAGTGAAGGTCTTCAAACTGAAGACGCAATAAGCTGCTTGCCTGCGGAGGAAGATATGTTGAGAAGCCCCACAGCACCTTAGAGAGATTTGTGATATAGAGACTCCAAGGTTCTCTAAGGGCTTAGGTGAGGTGTGGTACTGAAAGTAGATTGGCTGGAATATGATACAAAGAATGATTAGTTTTGCAGAATCCTATGTAGCCAAGTAACTTTCCCCTTCATCCTGCAGGGGTCTAGAAGTTTATTTTCTGGAAGAATTGAATAGAGGATACTTTGAATTGAAGGATACCAAGCATATCAGGAGGGGATGAGGTGCAGGTTGAAAGTAGATTAAGGAAAATGTAAAGTTATAAATGTGGCCGGGCGCGGTGCCTCATGCCTGTAATCCCAGCACTTTGGGAGGCTGAGGCAGGCAGATCTCTTGAGGTCAGTAGTTTGAGACCAGCCTGGGTAACACAGTGAAACCCTTTCTCTACTAAACATACAAAAATTAGCTGGGCCTGGTGGCAGATGCCTGTAATCCCAGCTACTCAGGAGGCTGAGGCACGAGAACTTCTTGAACCTGGGAGGTGGAGGTTGCAGTGAGCCAAGATTGCACCATTACATTCCAGCCTGGGTGATTGAGTGAGACTCCATCTCAAAAATAATGAAATAAAATAAAATAAAATAGTAAAGTTGAGACTAGCCACTAGTGGTCTTGTGTGATTTTCCACCAGCCAGATTTCAGCTACTTAGGGGAATGTATGTAGTAGGTGGATGGTTGGATTTAGCTAGAGTTGAGGCTTTGCCAGCTGAGACTGGAATATAATTCCAATAGAAAAACCTGTAATATTATTTGTATTAGGGTTCTGTAAAGAAACAGAACCAATAGTATATGGAGGGGTGTGTGTGTGTGTGTTTAAATTTATTATAAGGAATTGGCTCACACATTTATAGAGGCTGAGAAGTTTCCCAATCTGCTGTCTGCAAGCTGGAGACCCAGGAAAGCTGGTGGTGTCATTCTGAGACTAGAGGGCCAATGATGTAAGTCCCATTCTGAGGGCAGAGGATTGATGTCCCAGCTCAACCAATCAGAGAGAATTCCCTCTTCCTCAAGCCTTATTTTATTCACGTCCTCAATGGATTGGATCATGTCTGGTCACACTGGGGAGGGCAATCTGTTTTATTCAGTACACTGATTCAAATGAGATTAGCTCATCCAGAAACACCCTCACAGACATACCCAGAAATAGTATTTAATTTGAGTACCCCATGTCTCAGTCAAGTTGATATATAAAATTATCTATTATTGGACTTGCCTCACATATTGAAAAACTATATATATGATTTGACCTTGAATCTATAGAGTTAATTTTGTTTAAGAAAATCTTTAATCAGCTAGGTATTAGAGGAGTGGTTACTTTACTTTCATTCTCATTTTGACCTTGGTTTGTATTTTTATTCTTTCATACTTCTGATATGACTTAGTCCTTTATTTAATAGATATAAATCTGTTTCTTAGTGTCAGTAGCTCTTCTCATTTAGAGTATATCATAGCATGTGCATATTTTTCTAGTTCTCAAGACAGGGAAATCTTTTACCAGTGATTTTCATTCTTTATTCTTCATTGGGTCTTGGAAACTTGAATTTTAGGCCTTTTACTTATTCTCTTATTTTTTATTAAGCATATCATTTTCACATCTGATAATAGAATATTTGTAATGTCAGGAAATTTTTCTTGCTGCCTCAGTTTATCTTTAAAATTAAGTAGTGTTCATTAAATTATCTCCAAGATACTTACGTGTTCTGAAAATACTATGATTATGTGTTAGATATTTTATACTGATAATATAATATTCATAGTCTTAGTTTTATTCTGATTAGCTTCAACTACTAATCTTGTTCAAGGCTAAATTAGGCCCTTAAAGAATTTTACATTGTCTCTAAGCAGTTATAGTTGGGCTACCATAACTTAATGGATATTGTCGTATTTTCACAAGAAGGAAGCAATATTTGAAGAGCCTTTGTCTTTTGCATGCATGCCTGATAGTGAAGGTTAATACTGGGTTAATAGATCCATTGCTTCTAAGCAGTTGGAGGAGGACTGGAATCAAGAGACTCCATTTGGAGAAAAAAAACAGTTTGGCAATAAAAATCACAACTGGAAACTTGTGAAACTCAAGAATTCTACATGTATAGAAAAAAAATCACACTAGAAGGACATTCTTGTGAAGCAGCAGTTTTCTTAGCTTTGGATTCTTGGAGGGCCTATTATAAGGCAAATTATATACTTATGAATTAACACAATTAAAGTCATTGGGTAGAAAGTGCCTGCTGTTGATGTTTCTCACTTTGCATTATCCATTGAAAATAAACGTGCAAAAACTCTTCTTCATTGAAACATTTAACTTTTGGCCTTTCAGACAATAAAATGTCTCTGTTGCTACCTTGTATGCAAGCCAGGTCTTTGAATCCAAAGGTATAATTTTATCTACTGTTTCAGCCCTATTGCTTTCATTTGTCTGGCTATGGTAGATTTATATGAAGAAAATGAGGGCTTATTGTTTCAGCAAGTGTAATGAGCAATGTGTTTTTCCTTTAGGATCAAACAGAGCATACTGAATCAGCAGGACTGGCTGGTGGTGCAGCAGACATCATGAGTAAGCACCGAGAAGTCTGTTCCTTATCACGTGTGTAAGGGGAAAAAGGTAAGAAAATGTTTTTATTTCTCTTAGAGATTGAACTTGAGAAACCAATGAGATCTATAGAAGATAATGCTGATGCATATATGTTACTTGCATCATTTATAACATTGTGTCTTATTAAATCAGGAGTATGCTTTTTTTCAAAAAGATTTGACTTAAATTCAGAGGAAAAGGGTATTTAAAAATCACTGTTATTTTGTGTCACAATGGTCACAATGTTAATTTCCCTCCCAGTGCTGGCTCCTTCGTTTTAGAGTTTGTTGACCATAGAAAGGTAATTTCAGAAAAAATATGGATTTGAGCAATATTTAAGCTCATGCAAGAGCTAAACAAGTAAAGCTAATTTGGTGATGGGGAATCAGAAATGTAAATTTAATTATGTTATTTTATTTTGTATTTTTAGGTAAGTTATTATGTAGAGCAATAATTTCCAGCAGAAAACTGGAAGTATTCTTGTAGAACAGGAATCCTTGTCTTTTTCCTAACTAGGAGTCATGTTGTTTTTTTTCAAGTCTTAAGATTATTTAAGGGTGTGAACCCCCAATATCTGTGTTGGAAACAAGTGCTTGATGTAGCCAAAAGAAACCCGCACTTAGACAGAAATTTTCTCAGCAAGGCACTTTTACTTCTGCAGAAGGGTGCTGCTTGCACCTATTACAAATGCAAGAGCACACCGAACAAAGGAAGGAAGGGGTTTTTAACCCTAACACAGTTCCTGTTTCTGTATCTTTTCCCTATTGGCTAGGGTTGGATTGCACAATCTAAGCTGATCCCAACTAGCCAAGGCTTAAACTTTTCCAAACAGGGTAAATGTGAGATTTGTGAAGGGGCGGGGTGGGTAAAGAAGAAATGGTTAGACTTAACAGAAGCGGGGGTAGGATTGTTTACAACTTATGACCAGGAAGTTGAGTCTTTGAAGAGGAACTCAAGTCGTCCCAACAATTTCCCCTCTTCTGTCTTACAGTTCTTCATCTTCAGATTTCTTTAACAGGATCTGGCTTTGTTGTTCTTCTTGATTATCAAGGTGCGAGAGCTTATCTGAGTACGGAGGGGGAGAGGTTGGGGAGGTTTTTGTGAGAGCTGCTTCTATGAGCCTTTGGGTTAACCCACGAATACAAGGTATGATACAGCAACCGACAAGGATGAGTACATCTTTAACAATTGCAAGGGAAGTAAAGATTGAGGTCATGAGTCCCTTCCATTTTCCAAACCACCTTTCCATTAGGCCTGTAAAGGGGTCGTCTATTCCAGAGTTTTTGGCTAATTGATTTGCTAGGGTGGTAAGGCCTTGTAAGGCTTTTATGATTGTCCCATCAGGGGCTGTATTATTAGGAATAAAAGTACAACACTGGACCGTGATCATGACATAGACTCTGCCTTTTTTGGCCAACACCATGTCAAGGGTTATTCTGTTTTCCCAGACCATCTGGCTGATGGGGCCTAGTTTCAGCGATTCCTTTTATGGCATCTCTGGTATAATTGATGAATTGCTGCTGATTGTAGTATATGTGATTTATCCAGTCTACGTTTTTGTTTATAGTGGACCACCAGAATAAGATAGACTCGAACCTGGCGGCTATTTGGTTTTGAGCTTTGAATTCATTTGGTACCCTCCGCAGGACCCTGATGCTGTCTATGTAAACTTGAGGGTCAAAGGACCCATTTATTGGGGCTTCTTTTTTTCTTCTGGTTACCTGCTTCCTGATGAAATGCCATGGTGAAAGCCATGGCCAGTTGAATCAGAGCACAAGTGCCACTCCAGTTGCTTGGCAGTGTACCAAATATTGGTCCCCCACAATACCACCATACATCCTCTCGGGGATGGACTAGGGCTGACTGATTGGTTATCTCTTGAAAAGGTTTAGGCCCACTACATCCCATCAGGTTTCCAAGGAATGTCAAATTTTCCCCTTGTTGTGAAAGACACAAGGTAAAATTGGCATCGAGAGCTGGAAGTTGAATGGCCCTTGGGGGCTGTCCCATAGGGGTCCTGACCTTTGGGGAAAATAGTGAGTGAGTGGCACATGACATGTTTCCCCAGGCTGTGGGGTGCTGGAAGAGAGCTACCATACAGTCTTTGCCTGATGGATTGGCCCATCCGAGTGGGAGGGGAACAGTTTGGGTTTCTGGCCTGCCTGTTGCACAAGCGTAACAATCTGTTTTATTTAGGGTGCGAATGGAATATTTAATCAATTCCAGCTAGGCATTTACATCTTGATAACTGGTTTCTATGGCTAGGGTTTGCTGTAAATCCTTAACTTCTACTATAGCTACTTTGGTTTTGTCAGTAGGCATGAAGCGAGAAATGGTTTGATTTTTGTGGTTTTGGGAAGCGGGTAATGGGGGGAGATGGAGGAGGAGGAGCAAACCTCATTTCAAAGATGCCTGTAGGGTCTTTTGCAGTGACATCTGCTCCTAGGCCATAAAGGTGCTCTAAAGTGGGGATAGGGTCAGTGGAGGTGGGGATAGGAATAGAGAGAAGTACTGGGTTACACTGGTGGTTTTGGCAATTTGAGGGGGTGGTTCCTTTGGTGAAGTGGAGGTAGGGTTTTAGGGCGGTGCGACCCTCTGAGGAGGTCCAGCCCTGATATTTCGTGGTCCAGATAATATCTCCCCAACTATAACATAACCCCTGGAAGGCTTGTGGTCGTTGATTGCAAGGGTCGGGGGTGGTGCTGGTTTTTCTGGGGATGGGGGGCAGAGGTACTTTTCTGAAGAAGCTAGCTGTCTTTGACTATGGAGGTTTCCACAGGGTATGACAAGACAGGCATCGAATGTAATTGTGGGGAGGGTGATCGGGTTACATTGATAATAAGGTGTCCTTGGGTAGCTAAAGGAAGAATAAAAAGACAGATTAAACCTTTTTGAATGTTAGTTTGGAGGGTATTGATCCTGGAATGATGGTCCATGACTTTGCAATGGTTGCGGCCCCTTTTAGCCCAGTGTGGTGGGTCCATGCTTTTTTGGCCGTTCAGATTGCTGTCTCAGTGGTTAGGAGTATTAGATAAGGAGTATTAGATAAGGTCCTTCCCAGGTTGGTTCAAGCTTTCCTTCTTTCCAACATATGATAAGGACGTGATCTCTGGGCTGGTGTCGGTGAATTGGGAATTCGAGGGGTGGAGTTTGCGCTAGGAGGCCTTGAGTCCTGAGGGAGGAAAGGGTGGAAGACAGACCAAATATATATATTTTTAGAAACTGATCTTTTGTTTCAAATGTGGGAAGGTCAGTAGTGGAATTTAGATAAGGCAGCCCATAGAGCATTTCAGGCCAAGATCTTTTGTGTGTGTGTGTGTGTGTGTGTGTGTGTGTGTGTGTGTGTGTGTGTGTGTGTGGCAGAGTCTTACTCTGTCGCCCGGGCTGGAGTGCAGTGATCTTGGCTCACTGCAACCTGCACCTCCCAGGTTCAAGCAATTCTCCTGCCTTGGCCTCCTGAGTAGCTGGGACTACAGGCACCAGCCACCACGCCCGGCTAATTTTTGTATTTTTAGTAGAGACGGGGTTTCACCATATTGGCCAGGCTGGTCTCGAACTCCTGACCTTGTGATCCACCCTCCTTGGCCTCCCAAAGTGCTGGGATTACAGGTGTGAGCCACCACACCCTGCCAGGCCAAGATCTTTTTGAGGGGCAGTTTGGATTCTTAGTAAGGCAATGGGAAGGCATTTTGTCCATGGTAACTGGATTTCCAAGATTAATTTGGTTAGGTGATTTTTTAGAGTTTGATTAATTCTTTCTACCCTCCCTGATGAAGGTGGATGCCAGGGAGTATGATATTCCCATTTTATTCCTAGTGCTTGGGTTAGCCCCTTAATGATGTGTGCAGTGAAGTGAGTCTCATTGTCTGAATCAGTGTTCTCTATTAGTCCAAACCTGGATATGATATGTTCCAACAGTGCTTTGACTACATTACTGGCAGTTGTGCTTGGGAAGGGTATGGCTTCTACCCAGTGGGTGAGATGGTCTACTATGACTAGTAAATACTTGAGGCAGCCGATTGGGGGCATTTCAGTTTAATCAACTTGGATGCTTTGGAATGGCCTTAACCCTGGGTTTCTTCCCGTGGGAGGCTGCTTCTTTAGGGTTTCCTTACTAGTTTTTCTGCACATGATGCAACCATCTTCCACTTGCCTAGTACTCTATACACCCATAGACTCTGAGGGCTACATTGCACATAGCTTGAGGACCCCAGTGAGTTCCTGGATGAAGCTGTGACAATATTTCCCTCATGAGGGGCTTAGACAGCATTTCCCTTCCATCTGGTAATGCCTGCTTTCCCTCTGGGCTCTCCTGAGCTCCTATTTTCTTTAGAGAAAGGTCTACGTGGGAGAAGATGGGGATCGCAGCTGGAGGGGGAAACAAAGGGATAGATGGAAAATGGGTGCCTTTTCAGAAGAGGCAGCTTGCTTAGCTGTTTGATCTGCAAGGTTATTTCCCTGGCTTTCAAAAGATGGATTCTTTTGGTGTCCTGGGACATGGACAACTGCAATTTCTTCTGGCAGCTGAAGATTTTCTAATACTTGCAAAATTAATTTTTTGTGGACCAAATCTTGGCCCTTACTATTGATGAAGCCTCGTTCAGTCCAGATTTTTCCAAAGGTATGGACTACTCTGAAGGCATACTTGGAGTCAGTGTAAATAGTTCCTTCTTGATTCTGCAGGGATTTTAAGGCTTGGTTTAATGCAAAGAATTCACAGTTTGGGCAGACCAGTTATTTGGCAGTCTTCCTGACTCTACCTCTGTGAGGATTTCCCCATCAACTGTGGAGTACCTGTTGTACCTTTTTCCTTCAATGATCCGGGGGGAACCATCTGTAAAGAGGTGATGCCCTGTTTGGAAAGGGGTTTTGCTTAGATCCAGTCTGACTCTAGTTTGAGAACTGATTAGATCTAAGCATTTATGCGTAGATTCTTCTGGGTTTGGATTTCCTGTTAGGAAAGCAGCGGGGTTGAGTGAATTGTCAGTGGTTAGTGTTAGGTCATCCCTCTCTAATAAGATAACTTCATATTTTAAAATTCTTGAGTCAGTAAGCCATCTCTCTGCCTTCTGATTAAGAATAGTTCTGACTTGATGAGGGGTACTTATGATGAGGTTTCCCCCAAAGGTTATTTTCCTGCTTTCTTCTGTTAGCAAGGCAGTTGCTGCTATGGATTGGACACATTCGGGCCATCCACGGGTTACGGGGTCAAGGATTTTTGACAGGAAGGCTACGGGCCATTGGTGGCCTCCGTGTTTGTGGGTGAGTACTCCTAAGGCCACTCCTTTGCTTATATTAACAAAAAGGTGGAATGGCTGTTCTAAGGAGGGCAAGGCCAGAATGGGGGCTGTTACAAGTAGGTGTTTTATTTCTTCTACCTGTTGGATCTCTGATGGGGTCCAGAGGAGGGTTTACAGGGTCTGGTCTTTCTTGAGTGAGTTTTTGATATAGGGGCTTTGTTTTTAAGGCATAAGAGTTAATCCACAGATGACAATATCCAACCAATCCTGAGAATTTCCTAAGTTCCTGCTTTGTTTCAGGTAAAGGCAAAGATACCATACCTTCAATTTGTTTGGGTCCTATCTTTCGTTTGCCTTTACTGATTAGGTGTCCTAGGTATTTCACCTCAGGTTCTACGAATTGGAGTTTATTCTTTGAGACCTGTAACCCTTGTTCCCTTAGGAAATTTAGGAAGTTAACTGAAATTGCTGTTACTTGATCCTTGTTATCTCCTGAGATGAGCAGGTCATCCACATATTGGAGAAGGCATATGGATGAAGGCAGGGAGAAATTTTCTAGAACTTGTTCTAATATTTGACCAAATAGATCTGGGGACTCTGTGAACCCTTGGGGCAAGACTGTCCATCAGTACTGTTGTTTTCTATCAGAGTCAGGGTCCTCCTACTCAAAGGCAAACATGTCCCGACTATCTTCTGCTGAAGGGCAAGCCCAAAAGGCATCTTTTAAATCTATCACCATGAACCATTGGTGGTTGTATGGGATTCTACTGACAATGGTGTAAGGATTGGGAACAACAGGGTGGGCGGTTTGAACTATTTGATTAATAGCCTGGAGGTCTTGCACTAGCCGGGATGACCTGTCTGGCTTCCTTACAGGCAATATTGGAGTGTTATAAGGGGGCATACAGGGTTCAAGGAGTCCATCGTGGACAAGGCTTTCAATTATATGTTTTAAACCTATCCTGGCTTCCAAGGGAATAGGGTATTGTTTTGTTTTTACTGCTTCCCTGGTAGTTTTTAATTTGGCATGGATTGGAGGAACCTGTAGCTTTCCTCGATTTCCTTCCTTTGACCATATGTCGGGATGGATTTGGCTTTCTTCCGAAGTGGTGACCAGGTTTAAGGAAGTAAGTTTTCCCTGATTAACGTATAGGCCTATGCCTAACCTTAACATTAAGTCCCTTCCTAATAAATTAGTTCCTGCTTTGGGAATTAATAAGAACTTAGTAGTGGCCGACTTATTCTTATATTTGACTTTGGTTTCCTCTAGAATTTTTGCCCTGAATCCTTCCCCTATAAACCCTGAGACAGTATGGTTTTCTGCTGAAAATGCTAAGCCTGATGGGAGAAAACATAGGGAAAGCGAGCTGCTCCTGAATCGACTAAGAAAGTGACTATCTCTGATTTGGGTCCCACCATTAAATTTATCAGGGGCTCTTGGTGGGACTCAAGATGGAAGATGTAGAGTACCTGACCCCGCTATTCTTCTTCAAATGTCATGAGTGGAAGGACTTTCTTTTCCCTCTCCCATTCAGGACATTCCCTCTTAAAATGTCCTGGCTTTCCACACTAGAAACATCTGTTTTCCCTTCTCCCCCTCCCTGTTCCCTGACTCTCAGGTTTCATCCCTTTGCTTCCTGTATAGGGGTCAGACAGCCAGGTGCTTAGAAGGTCTACAAGTTCTATTCTCCTGGGCTCCCTGTTGAAGAGTTCCCTGTTGTAGGGTGGACAGGCATAATCTTTGCCTTTTGCTTCTGCCTTTCCTCATCCCTCTCTACATACACCTTTTGGGCCTCTTAAAAGTTCCTCTATGGGATGGTCTTTCCAATTTTCTATCTTTTGTATTTTTTTTGTAATGTCTGGCCAACTATTGGTGACAAAGTGGAGCTTTAACATTCCTTGTCCCAGTGGGTCCTCTATGTCTAAACCTGCATATTTTCTTATCTGTTCCTTAAGTCTAAGAATTCTATGGGCCTTTCATCTTTCCCTTGTTGTACATTAAATGCTCAGGAAACATTAGGGTTCAAGGAGCTGATTCCCAAATCCCTTTAATTATCATGTCCCTGAGATCTCTCATGTTTTCTCAGTGGGCTTCATTATTGTTATCCCACTGAGGGTCCTGGGCCAGGAATTTATGCTCTGCTGCAAGGACATTTTGAACAGGAGGGTGTTTGCGCTCCCAGACTATCATGGCAGCCCTGAAGATCATGGTTCTTTCCTTTCCTGAGAAGAGAATAACTAGGATAGACATTAATTCAGCCCAAGTGTACAGTTGTGGCTCCAGAGACTGTCCAGTTTGATCTGCGATTCCAAAAGGGTCGTCTAACAGTGGTTTGAGTTCCTTTTTTAGATTTCTAACCTCTGAACTAGTTAAGGGGGCATTTACAAAGCCAATATCCCCTCCTCCTAGTGGTACTTCCCTTAAGGGAAAAAGGGTTGGGGTAGACTTCTTTGAGGAAGGGAGGAAAGGAAAGTTTTGGATATCCCTTTGGCATTGTCTATTTCCCATTGGAGCTTTCCTGAGGAAGGGGCATGTTCAGGTGGCTGTCCAGCGGGGATGTGGGGTGGCATGGCCCATGGGGCAGGGTTATATGGGAGAGGAACTGAGTGTTCAGCTTGGGGTGGAGGGGTAGGGAGGGGAAGGACTGAGTGTTCCACTTAGGGTGGAGGGGTAGGCAGGGGAAGGTGGTCTAGAGGATCCCATGCATCTTTAGATACAGAATTTGACTTAGGTAGGTCGTCTTTGGGAGGTATTGAATTTGGCTTTGCTTTCTCATCCTTTAGGGGATAGAGAAGGACAGGTCTTTTTCTCCAACATAGAGCATCATCTGTCTCCTCTTGAGAAACTGGACTTTTATCATTGACTTACTGGATCAGGAGTTGACATATCCAGTCCTCATTTTACCCAAACTCTGGCCAAAAGACTGAAGGTCTGAGGGTGGGTTCCTTAGTCCAAATAAAAACAGCAATACTTTATCATACGCTGTCTTTTCTTGTGTTTTGTCCTTTCATTATCCTTCCAGTATTTTAACATAAGGCATAGGGGACTGTCAGGGGGAATTTTATTGTCTGCTTGGCCTTTTATAGTCCCTGTCTTACTTGGGGTATTTCCCATCCTGGCGGTTGGTGAGGCTAAATGTCTCGTATTAGAGATTTCTTGCACTCCCGTGTCCTAGAGGCTGAACCTCCCCTTTTCCCACTGGAGGTTTCTTGCACTCTTGTGAGCACCCACTTTGTCCTTATTGGCTGCTTCCCTCGTGAGAATTTTAGGTTCCTCTTAGTATTGGTGGGTTGGTGTAATCCCCTGACTGGAAAACTGCCCTAAGACCTACAAGGTGACCACAGAACCGAGTCCGGACTCCACACTCGCTTCGCACCCAATGGCGTGTCTCACTCACACACTTTCAACCTACAGAGATCCCAACCACCAAGGAATACTTTGTTGCCCCAATAGTGACGTTTCTTACCTTGGTCTATGCACAGAGTTATCTGGTCACTGAGGAATTCTTAGGGATCCTCCCTATAGCCCATGTTGCTGAGAGTCCGGATTTATTCGTCACTTTGGGCGAGATTCGATCCTCCACTCCTGGGGCCACCACAACGAGGCAGTGGGATGCGTCTCCCCATGAAAGATAATCACTAGCCCCTCCCAAAGGAGAATGGGATCCTGGACAAGCCCCCAGATTTGTTGGAAACAAGTGCTCAGTGTAGTGAAAAGAAACCCGCATTTAGAAGTTTTCTCAGCAAGGAACTTTACTTCTGCCGAAGGGTGCTGCTTATGCCTGTTACAAATACAAGAGCACACCAAACGAAGGAAGGGGTTTTTAACCCTAACACAGTTCCTGTTTCTGTGTCTTTCCCATGTTGGATGGGTCGGACTGCACAATCTAAGCTGATCCCGATTGGCCAAGGCTTAAACTTTTCCAAATAGGGTAAAAGTGTGATTTGTGAAGGGGTGGCGGTAAAGAAGAAACAGTTAGGCTTAACAGAAGAAGGGGTAGGATTGTTTACAACTTATGACCAGGAAGTTGAGTCTTTGAAGAGGAACTAAATTGTCCCAACATCTGGGACAGGTCTCAGTTTATTTAGAAAGTTTATTTTGCCAAGGTTGAGGACACCCAAGAGGTCCTGATGAAGCAACTGTGTTGTCTGAGGTATACACCCAAGGTTCATCGTCTTGTGCCAGGAAAATTTAGGACACCGACACACACGAGGAGTTTAGGAGCAGAGGTTTAATAAACAGAAGAAAGGAGAAAGAAAAACAGCTCTCTCTATTGAGAGAGACGGGTCTTCCGAGGGAAAAGACTGGCAGGTGGTGGATGCGCCGGATTTTATAGTCCAGCTTGAGGAGGCGGTGTCTGATTTATGTAGAGCTCACAGATTGGTTCGATCAGGTATGAAGTTTACATAGCATGCAGGGAAGGCTGGTTGCCCCACCCTAATCTTATTATGCAAACGAACTTTCTCCTTGGCAGGTGCCATCTTATCTGCTCCTTACTGTACATGTGGCTGGCAGAGAAGGGAAGATGGAGCCTCCATCTTGAGCATGTCTAGTCCCTAGTTCCTGCTGGCATTCACCCGTGCAAGCTCCCAGCTTCCTTGTCTGTGTCTGCAGCTCGACTTCACAGACTGCTCTTTGTTAGAAAATGATTTCCAGCCTGGCCAACGTGGTGAAACCCCATCTCTACTAAAAATACAAAAATTAGCCGGGCATGGTGGCACAAGCCTGTAATCCCAGCTACTCGGGAGGCTGAGGCAGGAGAATCGCTTGAACCCAGGAGGCAGAGGTTGCAGTGAGCCGAGATCATGCCACTGCACTCCAGCCTGGGTAGCAGAGTGAGACTCTGTCTCAAAAAGAAAAAAGAAAATGATTTGGGGCTACTTTTCATTAAAAAGAAAAGCCTTACTGAGGACTCTCGTACCCTTACTATCTGCCTAAGTGATTTCTTCTTAACTCCTGTATCACTGACAACACGTGCCCAGGGTTCTCAGAGCACAACTTGGTTTTATACATTTTAGGGAGACATGAGACATCAATCAACATATGTAAGATGAACATTGGTTCTGTCCGGAAAGGCGGGACAATTCAAAGCAAAGGCAGGACTACTGGAAGCAGGGAGTGGGCTTCCAGATCATAGGTAGATAAAAGACAAATGATTGCATTCTTTTGAATTTCTGATTAGCCTCTCCAAAGGAGGCAACAGATGTGCATTTATCTCATTGAGCAGAAGGGTAACTTTGAATAGAATGGGAGGGATGTTTGCCCTAAGCAGTTCCCAGCTTGACTTTTCCCTTTAGCTTAGTGATTTTGGGGCCCCAAGATTTTCCTTTCAGAAGGGGTAGAAAATGGTGGAGGGTATATAGGTGAGAAAGGTTACAAAAACTGATTACACTACTCACTAATGGAATGTTGCATACTCTGGTTGAGTTATCTGACTTTTCCATGTAAGCTGTAAGGAAAGGCATGGTGGGACCAGCAGTGTTTAATAGGAAACTGAGCCACTTTTCTCTTCAGTTGAGGGTGGAGCAGAGGTACTTGGCAGCAATGCCTTCTTCACCAAAACTCTGAGTCTGCAGTTGGCAAGCTATTTCTCCTCCTTTAGCCTTTTCACATGGGAGTGTGAGAAGATAGTGCCCTCTTTTCTGCCTTCACTTGCCAAAATCTCATCCTTCAGGCGTTGCCTAAGGAAGTTTCCACCCATTGTAGCAAAAACTATCAGTTATCCACCAAAGTCACCAAAATCCATTTTTCCCTTCTGTAGTAGCCACAGCTGTGATGTCACAGTCCAATCAGCCTTTGCAGCTGTGTATTCACCATCACAGTTAAGATACAGCATAATTCTATCACCACAGAGATCCTTATTGCTACTCCTTTGTAGTTGCATGTACCCTCTCCCCTGACTATCCAATATTTAATGACTTTTTAAAGTTAAAAACACTGTTAAAACTCATAGGAAGAGCTGGGTTAGCATAAAGGCAAACCCTAGTATGTTCCTGGATGAGAAGACTTAATATCATTCTTTCTCCTGAGTGAGGACTAGGTTAGGAATTCTAATTTCTCATGGTTTATTTTATTGGCACTCTATTCCATCCTGCTCCATTGCTGAGTCTTGGGACCATGGAGGGGACTTTTTCTGTAGCTCCTGGCTTCATGTAGAAAGCTCAGTTTAGCCCCTCTGGTGCATAAATTTCTATGTTTGCAGCCAGTAATTCTTATTCTTCCTGCTACCTTTCAAAACCCAGGCTTAAAGGTTGCTGTCTAGTTTTGATACTCCTATGGACTGCCACTCTTCAGTTCCTGCTTTCCTTCTAGGTTTATGGCATCTGTGTATTTCCCTTTCTTGCTTTTGAATTTGACTGTTTAAACTCTTTTAAAATATTTTATTTAGAATTTTTTTATTTATTTATTTTTGAGACAGGGTCTCACTCTGTTGCTGAGGCTAGAGTGCAGTGCCACCATCATGGCCCACTGCAACCTCCGTCTCCTGAGCTGAAGCAATCTTCCTGCCTCAGCCTCATGAGTAGCTGGGATTACAGGCATGTGTCACCACACCCAGCGAATTTTTAAAATTTTCTGTAGATACGGAGTCTCACTATGTTGTCCAGGCTGATCTCAAACTCTTGGCCTCAAGCGATCTCACACCTTGGCCTCCCAAAGTGCTAAACTCTTTAAAATAATTAGTTTTGTCTAGAATTTTTTTATTTAGAGTAGGAAGGAATGTTTACCACCCATCAGCTCAGTGTGCCCTTTTTTCTTTTAAGAAATCTTAAGCCTGCAGAAAAATGGAAAGACTAGAACAATTAAGACCCATATATCCTTCAGCTAGAGTTATCAGTTTTTACCATTTTGTCCCTTTTGCACACCTTTCTTCCCTTCCCACACATATACTCTCACATCATTTAAAAGTTAGTTGCAGACAACACAACACTTCTTCCCTAAACACTTCAGCAGGCATCTCCTAAGAGAACAAGTAAGGGCATTCCCCTACAAAATCAGAATGCCATTATCACATCTAAGAAAATGATAATTAATTCAATGTGTCACCCAATGTATCGTCCATATCCAAATTTCTTCTGAGATTGTTCTCAAAATGTTAATTTATGCTGTGTGTGTGTATATGTGTGTTTTCTTGATCCAGAATCAAGTCAGTGCCTGACACTTGGTTATTTAATATTTTGTCTGTTCTAGTTGAGAATAATCTTTTTTCCTTTTTTTTTTTTTAAAGACGAGGTCTTGCTCTGTCACCTAGGCTAGAATGCAGTGGTGCAGTCATAGCTCACTGTAACCTCGAACTCCTGGGCTTAAGCGATTCTCCTACCTCAACCTCTTGAGTAGCTGCACCACCACACCTGGCTAATTTTTATTTTTATTTTTGTTGATGTTGCCCAGGCTGCTCTTGAACTTCTGGGCTCAAGCGATCCAATCCTCCACCTCAGCCTACCAAAGTACTGGGATTACAGATGTGAGCCACTGCGCCTAGCCACATATAATATTTTGGAAAGTTCAGATCAGATACAGAATGTCTCACATTCTAGATTTGTCTTATTGTCTCCTCATGATTAAATCGGCTAAATGTTTTGGCAAGAATACTGTATAGGTGATGTTTTATATTTTTCATTGCATCATATTGGAAAGTGCATAATGTCAGCTTGTTAAACTGTTGTGGTGGTACTGAGTTAAATCATTTGGCTAAGGTGATGATTTCTATATCTCTTCATTGTAAACATACATTTCCTTCTTTGAAATTAGTGATTTACCTGTGGAATGATAATGTGAGGTACTGTGAATAGTTTCTTCCCCAATAATAATTTACTTAATAGTTTAGCATCCATTTTTGATGCTTGTTTGAATCAGTTATCGTAACTGGAATTCAGTACAACTTATTGACCAGCTGCTTATACACTGTTCATTTATTCATTCTGCAGTTATTAATTGAAATAGATACCACATTAGCACATCAGGCTCTATGTGAATCACCAGGAATACATGGTGAACACAGTCTGGTGGGTGCCCTTGTGGTGCCTACAGTCTGGTGGGAGAGATTGACAAATAATCACACTGATGTGTATTTATAGATGGTGATAAATATTTTAAGGACCAAGAATGGGGTGCCATGAGGGATTGTTGTTGTAGAAAAAGCGGGTTCTTGTCAAACAACCAGGAAAGATTAGGCTCACAGACACTTTTTTTTTTTTTTTTGGAGACGGAGTCTCGCTCTGTCGCCCAGGCTGGAGTGCAGTGGTGTGATCTCGGCTCACTGCAAGCTCCGCCTCCCAGGTTCACGCCATTCTCCTGCCTCAGCTTCCTGAGTAGCTGGGACTACAGGCGCTTGCCACCACGTCCAGCTAATTTTTTTGTATTTTTAGTAGAGACGGGGTTTCACCGTGTTAGCCAGGATGGTCTCCATCTCCTGACCTCGTGATCTGCCTGCCTTGGCCTCCCAAAGTGCTGGGATTACAGGCGTGAGCCTCCGCGCCCTGCCTAGGCTCACAGACACTTTGAAGGGTGAGGGGGAAGGCAAAAAGGAAAAAACTCAGCAAAGCGAGAGGGGTTCCTGTTAACAGGCTCCCATCTCACAGATTGAATCCCATGTTACCACACAGGAACAGGAGAGGCAAACGGAGTGAACTTCCCAAGGCCCCACCCCGTCCTCCCAGTGTGCAGTGCGCAGGTGGGCATCCAGAAAGAATCAGTCAAACAGGGAGGTGAACAACACACACCAGGGCCTGTTGCGGGGGTGGGGATCGTACTTAGAGGATGAGTCAGTAGGTGCAGCAGACCACCACAGCACACATATACCTATGTAATCTGCATGTTCTGCACATGTATCCTGGAACTTAAAAAAAAAAAAAAAAAGAATCAGTTGGAAAAGGGCAGGCTTCATCCAGGATGGGCAATTTGGTTTTTCAGCCCTCATGCTGTTTTAAACTTGAAGGTGGGGTTTTGCTGGGGTACCCTTGGCTGCCTCCTGTCTCTATCTGTCCCCTTATAAGGGGAGCCATCACCTTTTCTGGGGGTTCACATAACACTTGCCTTTGAAAGTGATATTTGAGCAAAGAGATCAAATGAAGAATGATGAACTTAAATAACCTCTTGAACTTCTGTACTAGTTATTCTGTAGCACTTATCTGTTAATTTTATCTGACAGGTTAATCACTTGCTGTCTCCTGTGCTGTTATTAAAATCATTTATTATTTAAATTTTCTTACTTAGCCTTGTTTACTGTTGACTAAATTATAAGCTTTATAATGTTAGGGATGATATCTGAGACTTGATTACAGTATAGATGCATATAGTAGATGCAGTAGGTAAATATGTTAATCTGATTATTTGTTTACTAATATTTTTATAATGACCATAAAATGCTGTTAAATATTGTAGGTGTATATTGAATGTGTCAGATTGTGTGTTGTGAGAAATTTCATTTGCTCTTAGCATTAGTAGACATTAAATGTGCAACCTATCTGAAATGGCATGCATATAAAAATGATTTTGACCTATAAATAATTAGACAACAAAGATAGATATTTAAAAAAATTCATAGATTATGGGCTGGGTGTGGTGGCTCATGCGTGTAATCCCAGCACTTTGGAAGGCTGAGGTGGGCAGATCACTTGAGGTCAGGAGTTTGAGACCAGCCTGGCCAACATGGTGAAACCCTGTCTCTACTAAAAATACAAAAATTAGCCAGGCATGGTGGCACACACCTGTAGCCCCAGCTACTCTGGAGGGTGAGGCAGGAGAATCGCTTGAATCCAGGAGGGGGAGGTTGCAGTGAGCTGAGATTGAGCCACTGCACTCCAGCCTGGGTGACAGAGTGAGACTCCATCTCCAAAAAAAATAATTCACAGATTATGTAGCTTATTTGCCTACCTAAACTTAAGTAACCTAATAGGAGCCAATCTATAAATGTTAACCAAGTTAATAATCATGGGAAAATACTCTTTCTTTTTTTGAGATGGAGCTTCACACTTGTTGCCCAGGCTGGAGTGCAGTGGTGCAATCTCGGCTCACTGCAACCTCCACCTCCCGGGTTCAAGTGATTCTCCCTCCTCAGCCTCCTGAGTAGCTGGGACTACAGGCACACGCTACCACTCCTGCCTAATTTTTTGTGTATTTTTACTAGAGACGAGGTTTCACCACGTTGGCCAGGCTGGTCTCAAACTCCTGACCTCAGGTGATCTACCCACGTTGGCCTTGCAAAGTGCTGGAATTACAGGCATGAGCCACGACGCCTGGCCGGGAAATACTTGAATAAGTCAGTTAAATTCCCTGAGCTTGTTTTCTTATTTGTAAAATGAGGGAAATATCATTGACACTTATATACCTCAGAGAAGAAGAAACACTACCTTAGTAAGTCAAAGAAATTTCATCACTTATTATATTTGACTTAAAGTTTACAAAGACAGCCTATTACATTTCTGATTTTCTCTGTTTTTCATGTTTTCCTTACTCAGACTTTTTGGGGAATTTGTAATTTGACCTCCCCTGCCTGTATTATATCAATAAGAAGCCAAGCAGAATTTTCAGTTTGGAAAGAAAAATTTGAAACACTAAGGAAATAGGTGTGGAGATCATGGTAATGGATGGAAAAAAGGAGATAATAGGTAGCATTTACTTAACACCTATTATGTGCCCTTAGCATCTGTTAAGTCATTGACATACCTAGTGTATATGCCCAAGGATGCTTTTGGATCGATTAACATTAAAGAAATGGTTTAGAAATGGTACTCGAAGAGGGTTACAAGAATAACCAGGTCAGGGCCAAGTGCATGGCTCATGCCTGTAATCCCAGCACTTTGGGAGACTGAGGTGGGCGGATCACTTGAGGTCAGGAGTTTGAGACCAGCCTGGCCAACATGGTGAAACCCTGTCTCTACTAAAAATACAAAATTAGCTGGACATGGTGGTGCTTGCCTGTAATCCCAGCTACTTGGGAGGCTAAAGCAGGAGAATCGCTTGAACTCGGGAGGCAGAGGTTGCAGTGAGCCAAGATGGAGCCATTGCACTCCAGCCTAGGCAACAAGAGTGAGACTCTGTCTCAAAAAAAAAAAAAAAAAAAAAAAAAAGGAATAACCAGGTCAGAGTCATCATTAGCATTTTGGAACTAGTATCCGTTACTCCTGTACTTAAACTTCCCTGTCATTTCCCATTTGAAAAAAATTCTGTAAGCTTCGTTCTTTAATAGAAACACAATTTTATACCAAACAATGATTCCTTTCCCAGCATCTGAAATGTGTCTGTTGAAGCATGAAATGATCACCAAGTCAGCCTTTTATATTTAGTTATATTTTGTTGATTGTCAGCTTACAGGTTTTTAGAATTTATTAGCTTAAAGATCTTATAATATATCCAGTGGGATGCCAGGTTTTGTAGTTTACCATTATCTGGAAAGATTTATAAGAGATTTTATCCTTGTGTATATACTTAAGATTTATAAATTATATTTTAATAATTCAAAATGTAATACGCATTTACTTTTTAGGTTTAAACAAGTCTCTTAAGTGGTGTTTCCTCACCGATGGAGAATTACTTCCAAGCAGAAGCTTACAACCTGGACAAGGTGTTAGATGAATTTGAACAAAACGAAGGTGAGAATTTATATTGGTGAATCTGTTTGCCTATGTGGTATAGAGAATGTGGGGATATAAGAGGATGTAGTATTTAAAAAAATAAAATCAGGTCTGATGACTTAATGATAGTAATATTATTTAATAATATACAGGGGAAGAAATAACATTTTTTAGCACTAAATGCCAGATACTTAAAATCCCACAGATCTTATTGCCATTTTATAGATGAGAATAGAGGCACAGAGAGGTTAAGCACTTTTCTCAGAGTTATCTTGTGAACAAGTGGCAGGATTAGAATCCAGGCAGTGTGACACTAGAGCCTGAGCTTTACTGAACTACCCTATACAATGAATGTATGGTCAAGAAATGTGCTTGCATTTCCTAAACTAAGAAAAATAGCTCGTTCTATATTGATTGCCCAATAAAGTAAAGATACATTTAAAACTATTTACATCACAACTGCCTAAGTGGTTAATTATATATTCTCAAGCATCAGTAGAAATGTCCACTTAAGATTCACTTCTTTTGTTTGTTTGTTGGTTGGTTGGTTTTTTGAGAAAGTCTTGCTCTGTCTCCCAAGCTGGAGTGCAGTGCTCACTGGAACCTCTGCCTCCCTGGCTGAAGTGATTCCCATGCCTCAGCTTCCAGAGTAGCTGGGATTCCATACACCCGCCACCATGCCTGGCTAATTTTTGTATTTTTAGTACAGAAGGGGTTTCGCCTTGTTGGCCAGGCTGGTCTTAAACTCCTGGTGTCAAGCAGTCCTCCCTCCTCAGCCGCCCAAAGTGCTGGGATTATAGGCATGAGCCACCACGCCTGGCCAAGATTCACTTCTATTTAGGGAAGACTTTTCTCTAAATTTCCATCTTGGTTTAACTTGAGTGGGTAAGCCATAATTAAATTTCTTCCTCCTCACCGTTCTTCCCCTGTGTTCTCTATTTCTAACAGGAAATGGCATTAACAAGTTTACAAAGTGGTATATTTCCATCCAAAGTCCATGATTCCAGTCCAGGCAACATGATGAAACCCCGTCTCTACAGAAAATACAAAAAAAATTAGCCAGGCCTGGTGGCACACCTGTGGTCCCAGCTATTTGGGAGGCAAAGGAGGGAGAATCACTTGAGCCCTAGAGATAGAGGCTGCAGTGAGCTGTGATCATGCCACTGTATTCCAGCCCAGATGACAGAGTGAGACCCTGTCTTAAAAAATAATAAAGCCCATGATTTCCATATTGGTTTACAAACCTTTGCTATATTCAGTGAATCGGGCTATTCTTTGATAGCAGTTGGGAAGACAGATTAGTTTTGACTTTGTTACTTTAGATATTTAATGCTCTCCAGCCTTAAATTGAATATGGAATCATGACAGGAAGGAAGAGAGAGAGGAAGGCTACCAGAGTGGCCTGCTTTTCTCATATTTTACCATTGATGACCTAACACTAACCTATATTCCTAGGCTCATTCCTGGTTCATGTAAATGTGAAATCTAATCATTGGGGTTTTACATCATCCAGGTGGGCTTTGTACATACCAGGCTGGAAGGTATATTATTTTCTGAGTTTCAACTGTTTGTATAAGTATTTTCTTAATCTTTTATTTGATTTAGCCCTCTGTGTATCACAGTTCTTTGAGTCATAAGGTACTTAGACATGTATTACACCTAATCATGTGAATACTATGCTTCTAGAATACCACTGACTCTAATAAAACTCTTAGTTCATTACATTTGTCTCTTTGTGACTTCTGTAGATTCTATTAGGGTGCTTTGTGTATAGTTGTTTTCAATACATTTTTGTTGAATCAGTAAAAATATTTTAGTTAAAAAATAGAGCAATTGCTTACAGAATAATAACTCCTTTAGAAGGAGAAGGATTTCTGAAACCAGCTTCTTGGTTGTAACTTTGTGGTTCATTTGTTTGAACTATTTTTTTGAATCTCACTACCAGTTGCATTAAAAACTATCACTTCAAGCCTCGTGTTATCTTAGAGAATATACTTAAAATGATTTCTCATTTTGTGTTAATTTATTTTCTCATTTAAATGAAAAAATATACCACAGACTGTGATGACACTGGGCAATCAACATTATGCCCAGGTAGGAGGCAGTTGAATAATGAAAATTTTAATACCCGATCATTTCTGTTTGAACATTGCTAAATATTCTTGTAAGAAGCTGTAACTATTTTTTTGTTTCCAGGAACCATATTGGAAATATGACTTATTTGCTTTTTTTTCTTTTAAGGAATCCTGTGTTACTAAATTTCAAATCTCTACTGGTTCAAATTTGGTAAATTCAGGATTTGACATTTCAGAGGATACTAAGCCCATTCTTCACACAATCTGAGTTTTGTGCCCTTTTTAACAACTTTTCACTACTTCTTTACACTAATTCTTTTCTCAACCCAAACTGATTTACTTATTGCTTCCTTAAATTCTTATATTTGGGGATATGCTTTTCTTTATTCCTCTATTTATTAATGCTTTCTTTTCCAAACTTACATAAAACTGTCTTTGAAGCATAGCCCAGTTCTTCTTGCCTTCATGAATTCAAGCTCGCTTACCTCATCCTGGAAAATATCTGTCTCCTCTGAATTTATTTTTCTACTCCTACATAATAGTTTTCAGACACTGAGTCCTCACTTGATGTCTTTGATAAGTTCTTGGAAACTGTGACTTTAAGCAAATTGATACACTGTATGCCGGAGAACCTTAACTGTTGTTTATATCAATTAGCTTATAGTAAAATTGGCTTCTTTATACAGTGAGTTGTTTTGCTTATAATTGCAGTTTCCAAGAACCTATCAACAATGTTAAGTGAGGACTTACTGTACCTATGCTACTCCATACTGCTAATTAGATGTTTGTACGTGTCTCTTATTCTCCCAATGAGATTATATACTTCTTAGAGGCAAGAGCTATCATTTAATCTTCATGTTCCTCAATCCTGCTGCTTTTACTATGGTAGATATTCACTTATATATTTACTGTGTATGTTCTACCTATCAGGCACTATGCAAAGTGAGGACTTATATTGATAGAAATGATTTCTGCCTTCAGAAATCATTCAGTGGTTGAAAGAGAAGGGTAGATAAACTATTGCATTTCAGTGTAGTAAATGCCTTAATAAAGTTTTGATTAAGGTGCTGTGGACACATTGAAGATTAATGTTACAGATGAGGATTGAGCTTACAAATATATCTGCATAATTTCAGGACCATGATTATCAGAGATACTGGAGGAAGAAAGCAAGAAAGGCACTGAGTGCATTGTTCCTTATTTCTCTAATTTACTTAGACATATGCAGTAGCCCTATAACTTGAGAGAATAACTTAGCCATTGTAGTTATGATCTGTTAAAAAGTAAACAGAAACATTATATGAAATTATGCTTATTGGTAGACTATAAGAATGTTGATTTAATATGATAAATGAACACTTTTTGCCCAGTGTCCTCAGATAATAATATAAATATGAACCTGATTAATAATGTATTGTGACATGGTTACAAGCAGAATTTCACGTACTGTGGCAAACTTTTTTTAACATGTGTTGGGCAAATTTAAAATATTTTTAAGTAAGAAGTATAATAAACCCCAGTGTACCCATCATCCAGCTTTCACAGCATTTCATATGCTGCCATTTTGTTTCATTTATACCTTTATCACCTTCTCACTCCCTGCTTCATTCTTATTTTTTTTAACAGCTTTTTAAAAGGTAAACTTTATATACATTAGAATGCATAGATCTTAACTGTCCAGTTTTGGCAAATGGGTATCTCTCTCAAACCCACATCCTAATTATGATACAGAGTGTAGAGCATTCAGTCTCTACAGAAAACTTCATTTTCCTTCCTGCTTAATTAGTTATCCTAGCCACTGTTCTAAATTTTTTCCATCTAATCCATTAGATTAGCACCTGTCCTGGCTTTGCTCAATCCAAGGGTGCTTTCCCCTCTTCTGGGTCCCATTCACCTGTGGGTCAGTTTAATTATGTTACTAGATTGAGGTAGAATTCTTTTGTTGTTTGGAATAGTCTGAGATATTACCATTTGGTGACATATAATTGCAGAGAATTGTCTGAAATATATTTTCTTATTTTTTAGCCCCGAATTAGAAATCTAATATCCTTGGAATATTTAATTTTCAAACGATAGTTAGAAATGTTATTAACTTAGTCATAAGCTTTTCCAGTGTTACAAGCAAACTTATTGTAATTACTTATTTTTTTCCAGATGAAACAGTTTCTTCTACTTTATTGGATACAAAGTGGAATAAGATTCTAGATCCCCCTTCTCACCGGCTGTCATTTAACCCTACTTTGGCCAGTGTGAATGAATCTGCAGTTTCTAATGAGTCACAACCACAACTGAAAGTCTTCTCCCTGGCTCATTCAGCTCCCCTGACCACAGAGGAAGAGGATCACTGTGCTAATGGACAGGACTGTAATCTAAATCCAGAGATTGCCACAATGTGGATTGATGAAAATGCTGTTGCAGAAGACCAGTTAATTAAGAGAAACTATAGTTGGGATGATCAATGCAGTGCTGTTGAAGTGGGAGAGAAGAAATGTGGAAACCTGGCTTGTCTGCCAGATGAGAAGAATGTTCTTGTTGTAGCCGTCATGCATAACTGTGATAAAAGGACATTACAAAACGATTTACAGGATTGTAATAATTATAATAGTCAATCCCTTATGGATGCTTTTAGCTGTTCACTGGATAATGAAAACAGACAAACTGATCAATTTAGTTTTAGTATAAATGAGTCCACTGAAAAAGATATGAATTCAGAGAAACAAATGGATCCATTGAATAGACCGAAAACAGAGGGGAGATCTGTTAACCATCTGTGTCCTACTTCATCTGATAGTCTAGCCAGTGTCTGTTCCCCTTCACAATTAAAGGATGACGGAAGTATAGGTAGAGACCCCTCCATGTCTGCGATTACAAGTTTAACGGTTGATTCAGTAATCTCATCCCAGGGAACAGATGGATGTCCTGCTGTTAAAAAGCAAGAGAACTATATACCAGATGAGGACCTCACTGGCAAAATCAGCTCTCCTAGGACAGATCTAGGGAGTCCAAATTCCTTTTCCCACATGAGTGAGGGGATTTTGATGAAAAAAGAGCCAGCAGAGGAGAGCACCACTGAAGAATCCCTCCGGTCTGGTTTACCTTTGCTTCTCAAACCAGACATGCCTAATGGGTCTGGAAGGAATAATGACTGTGAACGGTGTTCAGATTGCCTTGTGCCTAATGAAGTTAGGGCTGATGAAAATGAAGGTTATGAACATGAAGAAACTCTTGGCACTACAGAATTCCTTAATATGACAGAGCATTTCTCTGAATCTCAGGACATGACTAATTGGAAGTTGACTAAACTAAATGAGATGAATGATAGCCAAGTAAACGAAGAAAAGGAAAAGTTTCTACAGATTAGTCAGCCTGAGGACACTAATGGTGATAGTGGAGGACAGTGTGTTGGATTGGCAGATGCAGGTCTAGATTTAAAAGGAACTTGCATTAGTGAAAGTGAAGAATGTGATTTCTCCACTGTTATAGACACACCAGCAGCAAATTATCTATCTAATGGTTGTGATTCCTATGGAATGCAAGACCCAGGTGTTTCTTTTGTTCCAAAGACTTTACCCTCCAAAGAAGATTCAGTAACAGAAGAAAAAGAAATAGAGGAAAGCAAGTCAGAATGCTACTCAAATATTTATGAACAGAGAGGAAATGAGGCCACAGAAGGGAGTGGACTACTTTTAAACAGCACTGGTGACCTAATGAAGAAAAATTATTTACATAATTTCTGTAGTCAAGTTCCATCAGTGCTTGGGCAATCTTCCCCCAAGGTAGTAGCAAGCCTGCCATCTATCAGTGTTCCTTTTGGTGGTGCAAGACCCAAGCAACCTTCTAATCTTAAACTTCAAATTCCAAAGCCATTATCAGACCATTTACAAAATGACTTTCCTGCAAACAGTGGAAATAATACTAAAAATAAAAATGATATTCTTGGGAAAGCAAAATTAGGGGAAAACTCAGCAACCAATGTATGCAGTCCATCTTTGGGAAACATCTCTAATGTCGATACAAATGGGGAACATTTAGAAAGTTATGAGGCTGAGATCTCCACTAGACCATGCCTTGCATTAGCTCCAGATAGCCCAGATAATGATCTCAGAGCTGGTCAGTTTGGAATTTCTGCCAGAAAGCCATTCACCACTCTGGGTGAGGTGGCTCCAGTATGGGTACCGGATTCTCAGGCTCCAAATTGCATGAAATGTGAAGCCAGGTTTACATTCACCAAAAGGAGGCATCACTGCAGAGCATGTGGGAAGGTAAGTTGCATGTATACACTCAGAAATCGGGCATGCACATTTTGTAATGCTGAATTAAATAGTAATAAAGGCAATGTAAGGTGAATATATGTCTGGTTGAGTTGACCTAAATAGCATTTTTGAAAACCCAGTTCTAGTAAATTTCTATATAAAAAATGATGTCACTGATTCTTAGATAGTATTTGTAATTTTTTTTGTTGCCACGATTTATGCTGAATCAGTTTTTATGAAGAGATGAGAATTGAGGAAGTGTAAACTTTGTGGTTTCTGTATTGATAGCTACTTGGTTAATGTAATAGTTTGAAATAAGGAAGTTATTCTTTCAGTTTAGGAAATATTTGTCATTAACTTATTGCATTATTTATTGAAAAATGCATTTAAATACAAAAAATAAAAATAAAAATTACATTTAATTGTTGAAAAATATTACACATAGAATCCATCCTACTTTTTTCTGTGAGATTTTTGCCATTATACAAAACATTCTGGAACTCTTTATACACATGCACACATATTTTTGTCTTTTCTCCCATATAACTTTGATACAAAGTAGAGTTGAAGTCTGTAGATTTTTATGACAAGGTTGTAAGAATGATATTCCTTAGCTCTCCCCAAATTTTGTTAGCTAAAAACACATCTTTTTTGTTTGTTTGTTTAGAGTTGTAAATAAGGAAGGAAGGAGATTTTATATTTTTGAGATATGGTGTCAGGTCTAGAATAAAATTTCAGCTTTGTTACTATTAATTATATAACTTTACTAAGCCTTAGTTTTATAATCTGTAAAAACAAACCAAAAAAGATTAATAACTTTTATTGGGCTGTTGTCAAGATTAAATGAGATCTCAGAAGTCATAGTGCTCAATGATTAATCTCTACCTCCCTTCTTGCCTGATTTTTTGGTCCATCTGTATTAATTAGGGTGCTTTCAACTTCAAGGAACAGAGTGTTTGACCCCCCAGTGACTTAGGTGAAAATAACATTTATTTCATGTAAACAGAAGCTATGAGACTCAGTGATTTATGTCTGGGTGCAGAGACAGGATCGTGGAAGTTCTCTCGGTCTTCCCCTCATGTCAGAAGATAGTATCTCAGTTCTAATTATCGGGTCTCAACCTGACAACTTCCTAAGCACAAAGAAACTGGCTGGGGGGCAAAAGAGCCTACTCTACTCTTGGCACCCTCTTATCAGGGAGGAAGGGACCTCCAGCAACTTCCTTTAATTTATTGGCCAATTTTAGACCATAACCAATTACAGGCAAAGGGGACTGGGATTATCTAATCAATCATGATTTATCTCCTGGGGCTGAGCACAGTGTTGCCTGAAAAAAAGTGGGATTCTGTTAACAAAGGAGAAGGGGAAGTAGTGATATGTAGGATGAGTAAGTCTAGACGTCTAATGTACTACATGAGGACTATGCATAATAAAATCATACTATATTTGGGATTCTTGCAAAATGAGTAGATTTTGGTTCCTCTTGCCACAAAAATGGGTAACTGTGTGAGACAATAGATAGGTTAATTTGCTTCACTATAGTAACCTTTTTACTGTCTGGATGTATCTCATAACATCATGTTGTATACCTTAAATGTATACAATAAAATTTATTTTAAAAAAAGGAGAGGAGGAAAATGGTTCCTAGGTGAGCAGTCACTAAGGTTTACTAGAAGATCCTAGCACAAAAGAACCAAATTACAGGGAGCAGAAAGAAGCTAAAGCTGACACTGGGCTTGTTGGTCTCTGATTGCTAAAGTTTGAAGAAAATAATATGTCTAATTCCTAAATATTTTCCAGTCTTCTTCTTGTTAGCTGAAGTACTATTTGTAGATTAGGTTCATCATTTTTATGTTGTTCTGTATTTTGCTTACTGTAACACTTTCTGAAGTGTTTGCTTTCTTAAGTAAATAATGAAAACATTTTTGGTATAGGCCAGCACATCCAGCTATAATGAGTAAATAGGTACCTTAGATGGATTCAGAAAGAAAATGATGCACAAAATGCATCATAAATTGCAAAATGGTTGGAATTTTTGCTGAGTAGAATTTGTGGAATTTATGAATTCATGGATTCATGTGGCTTATGGATTCATAATTTCATCTTTTTCCCTCGTTTACCTTAGAGATGTTATAAGTATTAATGAGATAATATCTGTAAAAATCCTTGAGCTTCTCAGAAGAAAAGGGCTTATAAACATAGATACTAATTGGATTATGCTGAGAATGCAGCTAGAAAAATACCCCAAATAATGTTATATATTGAAAAAAAGAAAGTTTGTTCCATTTCAGTAGAAATTAAGCATACGTAGTAATTACTTAATATTTATAGCTATATTCCCTTTACTGCAACAAGCATATATTGTGTCTAATATATAAAAGGTTCTAGGCTAGGTAATGGGGATTCAGAGGTATATAAATTGGAATTTATGATGTCATGGCAATCTTTTTTTTTTTTTTTTTTTTTTTGAGACAGAGTCTCTGTTGCCCAGGCTGGAGTGTATGGCGTGATCTCAGTTCACTGCAACCTCTGCCTCCTGGGCTCAGGCAATTCTCCTGCCTCAGCCTCCTGAGTAGCTGGGACCACAGGCATGCGCCAACGGGCCTGGCTAGTTTTTGTATTTTTAGTAGAGGCGGGGTTTCACCATGTTGGCCAGGCTGGCCTGGAACTCCTGACCTTAAGTGATCCACTTGCCTTGGCCTCCCAAAGTGCTGGGATTACAGACATGAGCCACTGCGCCTGGCCAATCTACTGACTTTCTAATTATGATTTCATTTATGTCTTATCTAAGTTTATTATTTGTTTTTGTAATTCAGTTCCAAGCTTGATGAGGGTAAGGATTTTTTCTGCCTTGATTGCTGCTGTATCCTCAGCCCTAGAACATACGGGTGCTCAGTAGATATTTGTTAGATGAATTAAACAATAAGTGAATACTGTTTCTTAATGCAGCAGTACTTTTTTTTTTTTTAAATCCAGTGCCTTCAATCTTTAGATGATGGTATCAAATTTAGATATAACGGGTGTAAGAACTTTGGAAAATATTTTAAATTAGTCATGTGTATTGTTCCTACTTAAGAACAGATTCAAACCAAAATGTTTCTTTCCCTAGTTTCTTATGTACTGATGGGAATGAATAGATATGAGAGTAGTAAGTAGCTGCTTTAGAATATTACATGGCAATTCACAGTTTCCCTCATACTTTGCATGAAAATCTGTCTTGCCTTGTAATTGATATTGTGATTTTAGCCATCTGGCATGAAAAAAACAGAACCAACATTTAGATTAATCTTGGTTTCTAGTGAAGCTGAACCCAGGGAAATATTTTCCATTACACACCCTCTGAAAGGCTGTATTGGTTAAAAGTGGTCTCATCCATGTCATAGCACTTATCATGCAGTATTGTCTTTGTCTTTGTTCCCCATTAGGCTGTAAAGATCTTGAGATTGCCTCTGATTTGTCTTTGTATCCAGCATCCAGCACAAATACCTGGCACCTATGAAGTACTCAATAAATGTTTGTTAATGAGTGAGTAAATGAGTCTCAGATCATTGATTAATTCAACAAACACTGAGTGCCTGTTATTTGTCTGTCACTGTGCTGGGTGCCGAGCTTACACCAATGATGTTGTGCTCCCCACCCTCATGGTATGTAAAGATTAGGCCAGTGACAAAAACAAAACAAAACAAAAAAACATGATTTGTGGCAAGGGCGATGAAGGAGATAAGGAGGGATAATATAAAAAATGGGGGTGGGAGAAGAAGGTATGAGAAGACATCTGAGAAGTGACATAGTTCAAGGTTGACACATCAAGGTTGACACATAAAGGTGGAGGAGTCAGTTCTTCAAAGAACAGAGAAAAATGCTGCAGGAAGTAGAACAGCATGGACAAAGTCATTGAGGTTAAGAAGGCACCTATTCAACAAACTGAAGGAACTCCTGCAGGAAGTAGAACAGCATGGACAAAGTCATTGAGGTTAAGAAGGCACCTATTCAACAAACTGAAGGAACTCCAGTATAGTGAACGAGGGAAGAGTCACATAAAAAGAGATGGGAAAGCAGGTGGGGTGGCACAGGCCTGTTGTCCCAGCTACTCCATAGGCTGAGCATGTTATGATCATGTCTATGAATAGCCACTGTACTCCAGCCAGAGTGACAGAGCTGAGACCCCATCTCCACTAAAAAAAAAAAAATGCTGATGAGGAAGTTAAGGAATAGATGATGCAGAGCTTTGCAGGTCATGTAAGGAGCACAGTGGGAAGCCATGGGAGTGGATGAGATTACCAAGGGAAGAGAATAGACTCAGGGCTGAGCCCATGTGGTCAAGCAGAGGAGGACCCAGTACCAGTTGCCAAGGAGTGAGCGGAGAGGTAAATAGAAAACCAGGAAAATATGGTCTCTTGGAAGTCAAAAGAGGAATGTAGTTTGTGAAAGGGTTTATCACCTATATAAAATACTGTCAGTAAGATATGGACAGGAAAGGGACCATTGGACTTGGCTATAACAGGGTCATTGAAAAAAGCTGATTGAGTGGAGCAATGTTTACAGAAGCCAGATGGGAATGGGTTGAAAGTGGAATATGAAGGGAGGAAGTGGTGATGGCTTTTTCAAGAACTTTTGCCATGAAAACAGAAAAAAATTGTAGCAATTATTAGATGGAGATGGTGGTTATGGATGCCTTTTTGGAGGATGGGAAATACTGTTGTATTTTTATAGTGGTATGGGTGATTCTCTAGAAAAGAAGTTTTAGGAGAAAGGGAGGATTAAACAAAGGAAGAGAAAAATCCTTGAGAAGGCCAAAGGGATGGGATCTACAACATGTTGAGGATTTGCTCTTCAGTGGGTGGGGCTAGACAGAGGTTGGTTTATGAAGTTAGTGGTGAGAGCATGAAGAAATTTACACCTGATTGGCTTATACTTCATATAGAAAATATAAACATTGTGAAGGGTGAAATAGGGATAGATGATGAAGGTTTGAGGAGAGTGAGATAGTTACATTGGAGAGGAAAAGTAAAGCCTAATAGTGAATTGAAATTTCAAGAGCCCTTTGTGCTTGGCATCAAACTTTCAGTCAGTTAGATGAATTAAAAAATAATCTAGTCCAGTCCTGACTTAATGGGTTAGAATCAGTATTTATCCTTGGAGATATGATGAAATTGTTATATTATCTTTGCGATACAAGCATTTTAGTTTGGAGAAGCAAGAAGAGTTCTGTAGGACCCGTCTGTGCTACTACCTGTCTACCTATTTCCATGTATTTGTTCTTTTTTAAAACAATTTAAAAAAACTTTTAGCTGGATGCAGTGGCTCATGCCTGTAATCTCAGCACTTTGGGAGGCTGAGGCAAGTGGATAGCTTGAGATCATGAGTTCGAGACCAGCCTGGCCAATATGGTGAAACCTCATCTCTGCTAAAAATACAAAAATTAGCTGGGCGTGGTGGCAGGGGCCTGTAATGCCAGCTACTCAGGAGGCTGAGGCACGAGAATTATTTGAACCCAGGAGGCAGAGGTTGCAGTGAGCCGAGATCGAGATCACGCCACTGCACTCCAGCCTGGGTGACAGAGAGAGACTCTGTCTCAAAAAAAAAAAAAATTATGACATATTATTTGTTCTTTCATTCAGTGAGCATTTACTTATTGCTTGGTATTCTGTTTTTTACTAAAGAGAAGCAAAAAGAAAAAAAAAAAGGAAAAGAATGGGCCTCCTGGTAAAACATACCACTCATGTTACTGTAGATGACTTAAAGATATAAAATGAGAAATGAACAGTTACAAAGCTGCAGATGCTCTGCAGTGGGAAGCAGATAGATTGTGGTGGTGGTGGTGGTTGTGAGGAGAATGAGATACTAATATTTATTGAGTGTTTACCATGTGCCAGGCGCTTTTCTAAATCCAGACTTACAGACTTTATTTAATACACATAACAACCCTATGAAGTAGCTAGCTACTGTTAAAATCCACATTTACAAGTGACAAAATAGGCCTAGAAAGATTAAGTAACTTGTTCAAAATCACACAGCCAGTAAGTGAAGTTACGATTCAAACTCAGGGACTTTGACTTCTAGAACCAAAAGGGAGCTAGCATTTGTTTAGTGCCTATTCTGTGCTTTATTTATTATCTAACTTAATCTTCCTGGTAAACCTGTGTGATAGTTGATGGTATCCCTAATTAACATTGAAGAAACTGATACGGTAGGACCCTGACACAGTCTTGCTAGCTGTATAACTCATGCTCTTTCCCATAAATAAAGTTGAGAGAATAAAACAAATAGGTTTCTTTATGGTGATCTTTATGTTATTTTCTTTGCATTTCTGAGAGAAATGTCTGCATTTATGCCATAATTTTTATTTTTAATTTTTGGAGACAGGGTCTCACTCTGTCGCCCAGGCTGGAGTGCAGTGATGCAATCTCAACTGACTGCAGCCTCTACTTCCTGGGCCCAGGCAATTATCCCACCTCAGCCTCCTGAGCAGCTGGGACTACAGGCACACACCACCACACCCAGCTAATTTTTGTATTTTTTGGTAGAGACAGGATTTCACCGTGTTGCCTGGGCTAGTCTCAAAACTCCTGGGCTCTACTGATACATCAGCCTTGGCCTCCCAAAGTGCTGGGATTACAGGTGTGAGCCACCATGCCTGGCCTTTATGCCGTAATTTTTAAAACAAATGCCTTAAATACTATTTCAAAAAGAAAGATGAAAAATATCTAACATTTTATTAGATATAAATTTTTATTTTGAATAGTTATGTGTTAAATTAGTTGCAGTTTATTTTTGGGTAACTTGAGTTGAAGTCATTTTTGTTTAACATTTGAGAATTTAGATGTGAATAGAGAATAACCTTCATAAAATCTGAATTAGTAACACATTAAGACAAATAATGTTTTGGCTTATACCTTCAGAGATCAGTTTTCTTAAGGATTTTTTTTATCCTGTTTTTTTTCCTGGGTTTTTTTTTTTTTTGAGACAAACTCTTGGTCTGTTGCCCAGGCTGGAGTGCAGTGGCATGATGGTGGCTCACTGCAACCTTGACCTTCCAAGGTCAAGCGATCCTCCCACCTCAGCCTCCTGGGTAGCTGGGGCTACGAGCATGTGCCACCACGTGTAACTAATTTTTTTTTTTTTTTTTTTTTTGAGATGGAGTTTCACTCTTGTTGCTTGCCCAGGCTGGAGTGCAGTAGCAAGATCTTGGCTCACTGCAACCTCTACCTCCTGGGTTCAAGCGATTCTCCTGCCTCAGCCTCCTAAGTAGCAGGGATTACAGGCACCTGCCACCACACCCGACTAATTTTTTTATTTTTAGTAGAGACGGGGTTTCATCATGTTGGCCAGGCTGGTCTCGAGCTCCTGACCTCAGGTGATCCACCCACCTTTGCCTTCCAAAGTGTTGGGATTACAGGCGTGAGCCGCTGTGCCCGGCCACTAATTTTTTAAAAAATTTAATGTTGCCCAGGCTGGTCTCGAAATCCTGGGCTCAAGGGATCCTCTTCACCTCGGCCTCCCCAAGTGTTGGGATTATATGTGTGAGCCACTGCTCCTGGCTGCCTTTGATTTTAAAACATGGCCACTGGTTGGGCTCCTTGGGAAGCAGAAAGGTAGTAGTAGGCCCTCACTCAGTACCAAATGTTATTAACAGATAACTTAGGTGCAAAGTGGGATAAAACACATGTAGCTAGAAAATGTTTGCACTAAGTTCATGCTATTTTTTGTTTTTTTGCATCTCTTCTCCTGAAAGCCATCTCCCTTTCAATATCTAGTCTGCTGATACATTCTAAATACTAGTCACAATTTTTTATTGTAAAATATGCATAACATAAAATTTACCAGTGTATATGGGTTTGAGGGTATATGGTTCAGTGGCGTTACATGCATTCACATTGTTGTTGTACAACCATAACAACTATCTCCAGAGCTTTTTGTTTTTTTTTGAGACGGAGTCTCGCTTCGTTGCCCAGGCTGGAGTGCAGTGGCGCAATCTCGGCTCACTGCAACCTCTGCCTCCTGGGTTCAAGTGATTCTCCTGCCTCAGCCTCCCGAGTAGTTGGGATTACAAGCACCCACCACCATGCCTGGCTAATTTTTGTATTTTTAGTAGAGACGGGGTTTCGCCATGTTAGTCAGGCTGGTCTCAAACTCCTGACCTCAGGTGATCTGCCCGTCTTGGCCTCCTAAAGTGCTGGGATTACAGGTGTGAGCCACTGTGCCTGGCCATTTTTATCATCTCAAACTTAATAACTTCCCATCTTTCCTTGCCCCTAATGCCTGGTGACTGCTATTCTACCATCTGTTTGTATGAATTTCACTATTCTAGGTACCTCATATAAGAGTGGTTACACAATGTTTGTACCTTTGTGTCTACACATTTCATCCATGTCGTAGCATGTATTAGTCAGAAGGACAGAACCAATAGGATGTGGAGATATATAGATATATATATATGACTTTAATAGGTAGGATATATGTATATATACGAGAGTTTATTAGGGAGAATCAACTCACATGGTTAGAAGGTGAATTCCCACAATAATCTATTGGCAACCTCGGGAAAGAGAAGCTAGTGGTAGGGCTCAGCCCAAGTTTGAAAGCCTCAAAAGCAGGAAAACCAACAGTGCAGCCCTCAATCTGAGGCCTAAGGCCTGAGAGACCCCCAGAAGGCTGCTAGTGCAAGTCTTAGAATCCAGAGCCCAAAGAACCTGGAGTCTGATGTACATGGGCAGGAGGAGAGGATATAAGCATCTGGCAAGGAAAAAGAGAAAGCAAGCAGGAAGACTCAGCAAGCAGGCTTATCTTTGCTTCTTCTGCCTGCTTTGTTTTAGTGCACTGGCAGCTGATTGTATGGTGCCCACCCCCATTGAGAGTGGGTCTTCTTCTCCCAGTCCACTGACTCAAATGTCAGTCTCCTCTGGCAGTACCCTCACAGAGACACCCAGAAACAATACCAGCCATCTAGGCATTCCTCAATCCAGTCAAGTTAACACTTAATACTAATCATCACATAGTGTGTATCAGAGTTTCATTCCTTTTTAAGTCTGAATATTTCATTGTATGTATGTACCACATTTTGTTAATTCATTTATCCATCAATGGACACTTCAGTTGTTTCCACCTCTTGGGTATTACCAATAATGCTACTATGAACATGGGTGTACAAGCATCTGTTTGAGTCCCTGCTTTCAGTTCTTTGTGTATATACCCAGAAGTAGAATTGCTGGATTATATGGTAGTCCTGTGTTTGATTTTTTGATTAAGCACCATATTCTTTTTCCACTGCAGTTGCACAATTTTCCATTCCCGTCAACAATTCACAAGAGCTCCAGTTTCTCCACATCTTCTTTGGCTCTGTGTCCCCACCCAAATCTCATCTCGAATTGTAATCCCCATGTGTTGGGGGAGGGGCCTGGTAGGAGGTGATTGAATAGTGGGGGCAGATTTCCCCCTTGCTGTTCTCATAATAGTGAGTTCTCATGAGATCTGGTTGTTTGAAAGTATGTGGCACTTTCCCCTTTGCATGCTCTGTCTCTCCTGTTCCACCACGGTAAGATGTGCTTGCTTCCCCCTTTGCCTTTTGTCATGATTGTAAGTTTCCTGGGGCCTTCCAGTCATGTTCCCTGTTAAGTCTGTGGAACTGTGAGTCAGTGAAATCCCTTTTCTTCATAAATTATCCAGTCTCCAGTAGTTCTTCATAACAATGTGAAAACAGACTAATACACTTGTCAACACTTGTTTTCTATTGTTTTGATATAGCCATATTAATAGGTGTGAAGTGGTATCTCATTGTGGTTTTGGTTTGTATTTCTCTGATGGTTAGTGATGTTGAGCCTCTTTTCATGTACTTACTGGTCTCTATATTAAAAATCTTTGGAGAAATGTCTATTCAGGTCTTTTGCCCATTTTTAAATTGGGTTGTGTTTTCTGTTGTTGAGTTTTAGAGCTCTTTATATATAATTCAGTCTCCTATCACATAAATGATTTGCAGATATTTTCTCTTATTCTTGGGTTTTTCATTCTGTTGTCCTTTGATGCACCAAAGTTTTTAATTTTGATGAACTCCAACTTACATTTTCTTTTGTTGCCTGTGCTTTTGGTGTCATATCAAAGAAATCATCTCCAAATTTGATGTCATGAAGTCTTTCCCTTATGTTGTCTTCTAAGTGTTTTGCAGTTTTAGTGCTTGCGTTTAGGTCTTTTATCCATTTTGAGTTAATTTTTTGTGTATAGTATTAGCTTAGTTTTATTCTTTTGAATGTGGATATCTGGTTTTCTCAGTATCATTTGTTGGAAAGACTGTTCTGTTCCTATGGAATGGTTTTGGCACTCTTGTCAAAACTAACTGGACCATATAAGTGAGAGTTTATTTCTGGGCTTTTTTCTATTCCATTGGTCTTTATGTCTGTCTTTAATGTCAGTACCACATGGTTTTGATTACCATAGCTTCATAGTAAGTTTTGAAAACATGGAATGTGAGTCCTCTGGGGTTGTAGTTTGTCAGGATTATTTTGGCTATTCTGGATCCCTTGAGATTCAATTTGAATTTGAGAATGGATTTTTCTGTTTCTGCAGAAAACATGGTTAGGGTTTTGATAGAGATTGCGTTGAATCTGTAGATCACTATGGGCATTGTTGACATCTTAATAATAAGCCTTCTAGTCCATGAACATGGAATGTTTTTCCATTTATTTGTATGTTCTTTAATTTCTTTTAGCAATCTTTTGTCTTTTGTAGTTTTCACTGTACAGTATTTTACCTCCTTGGTTAAGTTAATTTCTAGGTATTTTATTCTTTTTGATGCTATTGTAAATGGAATTGTTTCCTTGATTTCATTTTTGGATAATTCATTATTAGTATGTAGAAATGCAATGGACTTTTTTGTTGATTTTTGTATCCTGAAACTTTGCCGCATTTATTAGCTCTAACAGTTTTTGTGTGTTTGCGGGGAATCTTTAAGGTTTTCTAAATGTAGCATATGTTGTCAGTATACAGAGATAATTTTACCTTTTCCTTTCCAACTTGGGTGCCTTTTATTTATTTTTAATTGCTCTGGCTAAATTTCCAATACTATGTTAAATAGATATGGCAAAAGTATGTATCCTTGTCTTGTTTCTATCTTAAAGCAAAAGTTCTTTCAGTCTTTTTTTTTTTTTGAGACAGGGTGTCATTCTGTCACCCAGGCTTGAGTGCACTGCCATGATCTCAGCTCACCGCATCCTCAACCTCCTGGGCTCAAGGTATCCTCCCACCTCAGCCTCCCAAGTAGCTGGGACTAACAGGCGTGCACTACCACACCTGGCTAATTTTTTTTTATTTTTAGTAGACATGAGGTCTACTGTGTTGCCCAGGCTGGTTCTGAATGTCTAGGCACAAGCGATCTGCCTGTCTTGGCCTCCCAAAGTGCTAGGATTACAAGTGTGAGTCACCATGCTTGGCCAGTTTTCAGTCGTTTTTGTTGTTGTTGTTGTTGTTGTTGTTGTTGTTGTTGTTTGTTTGTTTTTTGTTTTTCTTTTTTGAGATGGAGTCTCGCTCTGTCACCCAGGCTGGAGTGCAGTGGCGCGATCTTGGCTCACTGCAACCTCTGCCTCTCGGGTTCAAGCAATTCTTCTTCTTCAGCCTCCTGAGTAGTTGGGATTACAGGCACATGCCACCATGCCTGGCTAATTTTTGTATTTTTAGTAGAGACAGGGTTTCACCATGTTGGCCAGGCTAGCTTTCGGTCTTTTACCAGTGCATATGATGTTGGCTCTGGGTTTTTAATATATGGCCTTTATTATGCTGAGATAATTTACTTCTGTTACTAGGGTTTTTTAAAGTTTTTTTTAAATCATGAAAGAGTGTTGAATTTTGTTAAATGCTTTTTCTGTATGAATTGAGATGATCATTTGGGGTTTTTTGTTTCATTTTGTTCAGGTAATGTGATTACATTAATTGATTTTCATAAGTTGAATTATCCTTGCATTCCAGTAATAAATATCACTTGGTCATGGTGTATAATTCTATCAATATGTTCAATTCAATTTGCTATTATTTTCTTGAGTTTTGTATCAGTATACATTCATACAGAATATTGGTCTATAGTTTTCTTATAATATGTTTGCCTTGTTTTGGTATCAAGATAGTGCTGGCTTCACAGAAGGAGTTAGGAAGTATTTCCTCCTCTTCAATTTTTTGGAAGAGTTTGAGAAGGATTGGTGTTCTTTAAATGTTTGGTAGAATTTGCCACCAAAATCATCTGATCTAGGGCTTTACTTTGTTGGGAAGTTTTTGATTACTGATTCAGTCTCCCCACTAGTTATAGGTTTATTCAGATTTTCTGTTTATTACTGATTCAGTCTTGGTAGGTTTTGTGTTTTTAGAAGTTTATCCATTTAATCTAGGTAAGTCACATTTTTGTTGTAGCGTTGAGGCATTTTTTTTTTTTTTACAAAAAATTGGTACTCATATACATAAAGTAATATGAACTTAAAATTCATACATTTACTTCATTTTTTAGCTTGACATTCTAGTAAATCTTTTGCTCCATTTATTTTTGGTTATGATAGCAGAAGATCTACCTGGATGATTTAAGAGCATCATTTGTCAATGAGCACCTCTTATTTTCTCTTTATTGGCAGTAGTGCTTACAGCTACTATTAATGCTGCTTTCCATTTTGTCGTTTCGGGTTCAAACATACCTCTGTAATAGCCACCACTGAAGGCAGATTTTGGTAGACTTTGAAAAATTTGTTTTGTTGTTGTTGTTGTTGTTGTTGTTTGTTTTGGGGTTTTTTTGTTTTGTTTTGTTTTGTTTTGTTTTGTTAGAGACGGAGTCTTGCTCTGTTGCCCAGGCTGGAGTGCGATAGCGCAATCTCGGCTCACCGCAACCTCTGCCTCCTGGGTTCAAGTGTTTCTCCTGCCTCAGACTCCCAAGTAGCTGGGACTACAGGCGTATGCCACCACACCCAGCTAATTTTTTGTATTTTTAGTACAGACGAGTTTTACTGTGTTAGCCAGGGTGGTCTCGATCTCCTGACCTCATGATACGCCCACCTTGGCCTCCCAAAGTGCTGGAATTACAGGCATGAGCCACCACGCCTGGCCGAAAAATTTGTTTTACTTGAGGTTCCACATGCCTTATATAAGGGTTGCAAAACATAACAGCCTGCAAATCCTGCAGCAGCAATGGTCAGTCCGACTGCTACCACTGTACTGGCCATGGCTGGGCTCCCCTACTGCACCAGGAGCATGGCTCATCCCAGCCCAGAGGTTGCGGCCAACAATGACACACCTTTACCAGAGAGTGACACAGGCACCGATGGCAAGCACAATACACTGGATTATAATTTTTTTAAACAAGAGGATTATTTGAAAAACAGTCTAGGTGCGGTGGCTCACGCCTGTAATCCCAGCACTTTGGGAGGCCAAGGCAGGCAGATCACTTGAGCCCAGGAATTCTAGACCAGCCTGGGCATGGTGGCATGTGCCTGTAGTCCCAGCTACTCAAGAGGATCACCTGAGCCCAGGGTAATCGAGGCTGCAGTGAGCTGTGCTCACACCACTGCACTCCAGCCTGGGTGACAGAGTGAGACCCTGTCTCAAAAAAGAAAGAAAAACACAGTTTATGTTGTTGTTGTATATCGAGTCTTAAATCAATGCTTCCTCTGGCAGAACAAATCAGAAGTTGGTTATACAGTATCAACTGGCCAAGTGTCTTTATTATTTACAGCATCTACATTAGTTTTTAAAACCATCACATTTTCAATATATAAATGGGCAAAAAGATGTTTAGATGGGTTAGTAAACAATGGAGAAATATTTTAATTTACTAGATACTAAGAGGTAGAAATTAAAATTTTTAAAATTTTATGCCTATATAACAAAAAATAGAAAATGTTGATAGTATGATAGATAGTGAAATTGACACTGGCATATTTACACATTTAAAAAGCCACACGTGGGTCGCTGGGGAACCCAGGCTGTCCTAGGAAGCCGAGTGGGAGTGGCACAGAGCTGCTGGAGATCCTGAGAACCTGAGTTTTGGCAAGCAGCCAGAATACTTAAAAAATGACCACACCAAACAAGGCACCTCCTGGTACTGACCCTGAGCAGTTGGAAAAGACTGGAACAGTACGGGAAATTGGGTCACAAGCTGTTTGGTCACTCTCATCTTGCAAACCAGGATTTGGAGTGGATCAGTTACGAGATGACAATCTAGAAACTTATTGGCAATCAGATGGCTCCCAGCCTCATTTAGTGAACATCCAATTCAGAAGAAAAACAACAGTTAAGACATTATATATTTATGCAGACTACAAATCTGATGAAAGCTATACTCCAAGCAAGATTTCAGCCAAAGTAGGAAATAATTTTCACAACCTTCAAGAAATTCGGCAACTTGAATTGGTGGAACCAAGTGGCTGGATTCATATTCCCTTAACTGATAATCATAGGAAGCCAACTTGGACGTTAATGATACAGATTGCTGTTCTAGCCAGTCATCAAAATGGAAAAGACACCCACCCATATGAGACAAATTAAAATATACACACTGGTAGAAGAGAGCGCCATTGGTAAATTTCCTAGATGTACAACTATAGATTTCATGATGTATTGTTCAATAAGGTGACTTTAAAATGATATGGAAGTCATTAAACGTATCTTTGTTTTATCCTGTCTTTAAATAGTATATCAGTTACCTTTATTGAAAAAAACATCAGTTATTTGCAACTTTATATATATTTAAAAATATTTTATTGTAATTTTGATAAATTTGGGTCATATTATCTTTAACATGTAATAAAGCTCACATATTTTACATTACTAAAAAAAAAAAAAAAAAGCCATATGTGTGGCTGGGCGTGGTGGCTCACACCTGTAAATCCTAGCACTCTGGGAGGCCGAGGCAGGCAGATCGCTTGAGCCCAGGAGTTCAAGAGCAGTGTGGGCAACATGGCAAGACCTCATCTCTGCCAAACAAAAGGGGACGTATGTTCCAATTTTTTGAGCTAATGATTCCTTTTTTGAGTAAATAATTCTTAAAACAAGTGCAGTAAACAAAAAGATGTGTATTTTAGTGTTACTAAATAGCAAATACATTTAAAGTAATTTGTGTCCAAAATTGGATAATGGGCCAGGTGTGGTGGCTCATTCCTGTAATCCCAGCCCTTTGGGAGGCCAAGGTGAGAGGATCACTTGAGCTCAGGAGTTCGAGACCAGCCCAGGTAACGCAGTGAGACCTCATCTCTACTAAAAATTAAAAAATGGCGGGATGTGGTGGTACATGCCTGTAGTCCTAGCTACTTGGGAGGCTGAGGTGGAAGGATTCCTTGAGCTTAGGAGTTCGAGACCAGCCTGGGCAACATAATATCTCTGCTAAAAATTAAAAAATAGCTGGATATGGTAGGGCATGTCTGTAGTCCCAGCTACTTGGGAGGCTGAGTTGGGAGGATCACTTGAACCCAGGAGGTCGAGGCTGCAGTGAGCCATGATTGTGCCAGTACACTTCAGCCTGGGTGATAAACGAGACCATGTCTCAAAAAAAAAAAAAAAAGGTTAATGGTAAGTTAAGTACAATACATATATTTGCTTCAGCCATTAAAAATTATTACAAGGCAGTGTAGAAAATGCTTATGATGACATATGAATAGAACAGAATGCAAGCTTATGCTTTGTTTACAATTAAATTATTCTTGGGCATAAAAACAGATATGTCTGAAGGAAACATATTTTTAAAAAGTAATTTTAGAGCCAGGCACGGTGGGTCATGCCTGTAATCCCAGCACTATGGGAGGCTGAGGCGGGCGGATCACCAGAGGTCGGGAGTTCAAGACCAGCCTGACCGACCTATGGAGAAACCCTGACTCTACTAAAAATACAAAATTAGCCGGGCATGGTGGCACATGCCTGTAGTCCCGGCTACTCAGGGGGCTGAGGCAGGAGAATCGCTTGAACCTGGGAGGCGGCGGTTGCGGTGAGCCGAGATCGCACCATTGCACTCCAGCCTGGGCAACAAGAGCAAAACCATCTCAAAAAAAAAAAAAAAAAAGTAATTTTAGGCTGGATGCAGTGGCTCATGCCTGTAATCCCAGCACTTTGGGAGGCCGAGGCAGGTGAATCACCTGAGGTCAGGAGTTCAAGACTAGCTTGGGCAACGTGGCAAAACTCCATCTTTATTAAAAATACTAAAATTAGCTGGGTATTGCGGCGCGTACCTGTAGTCTCAGTTACTTGGGAGGTCGCAGTGAGCCGAGATTGCATCACTGCACTCTAGTCTGGGTAACAGAGAGAGACTCTGACTCAAAAAAAATTTTTTTTAATTCATTGAGTTTGAGCTATTTTGCTTTTTTCTTTTCTTTTCTTTTCTTTTCTTTTCTTTTCTTTTCTTTTCTTTTCTTTTCTTTTCTTTTCTTTTCTTTCTTTCTTTCTTTCCTTCCTTCCTTCCTTCCTTCCTTCCTTCTTTCCTTTCTTTCTTTCTGTCTTTCTTTCTTTCTCTCTCTCTCTCTCTCTCTTTCTTTCTTTTCTTTCTTTCAGATGGAGTCTCGCTCTGTCTTCCAGGCTGGAGTGCAATGGCGCGATCTCAGCTCACTGCAGTCTCCACCTCCTGGGTTCAAGTGATTCTCCTGCCTCAGCCTCCCAAGTAGCTGAGATAACAGGCGTGTGCCACCACCACGCCTAGCTAATTTTTGTATTTTTAGTAGAGACGGGGTTTCACCATGTTGGTCAGGCTGGTCTTGAACTCCTGACCTTGTGATCTGTCCACATCAGCCTCCCAAAGTGCTGGGATTACAGGCATGAGCCACCATGCCCGGCTCTTTTTTTTTTCTTTTTCTTTTTTGAGACAGTTTTGCTCTTGTCGCTCAGGCTGGAGTGCAGTGGCACAACCTCAGCTCACTGCAACCTCTGCTTCCCTTCCCAGGTTTAAGCAATTTTCCTTGCCTCAGCCTCTCAAGTAGCTGGGATTACAGGCATGTGCCACCACGCTCAGCAGATTTGTATATTTTTAGTAGAGATGGGGTTTCACCATGTTGGCTGGGCTGGTACAGCCTCAGTTGGATATAATATTGAAAGTCTGAATTAGAGATCTCTTTTAACCCTTTCTGTAATGGACACTTAAAATGACTCTGATAATTATTATTGTTTTCTATTAATAACAGTGAAGTTTAAACAGGTGTTTAGACAGAGGCAAGGGTCTGGATTTGTTTGAACTGCTTTAGATCTTATGATACTGATTTTTGCTATGTGCTAATAAGTGGAGGGATAAAGTACTCCTGCATTTGACAATTTTTATAAGTTGTTACTTTCACTGGTCTTTGTGAACAGCTGGACACTGGTCAGTTCTATGCACTCTCCTCTCCTGTTTTTATTATTCTCACATCACAGTTATTTTTGTCATAATTATAGGGCTTTTTGAAGACCTGGGACATCATTTTTTGCATTTTCTAATTTGGAAAGAAATAAGTGAGCATTTGATGATTTGAATTTTCAAGAATTGCAAAGGAATAAGTGTTATTCACACTGTAAGAGGGTATAAATAGGCACAAAGTGGTACTTTGAATATAAAGCATGTTCACAGATTTAGCAATAGGATTTGTTATGTGGAAAGCCTGTAGTGGGAAATTTTAAAAGGAAAGGAAAGGGAAATAAGAAAGGTACCAACATACATTTAGAACCTATTATATGCTACATTTTATACATATAATTTCATTTAATCTTCATAAAAGCCATATGAAGGAAATACTGTATTAGCATTTCTATTTTACATGTGAGAAAAACTAAGACCTAGAGAGTTTAAATTATTCCCATAAGGTCATCTGACTAGAGAATAATCAAGTTGAAATAGGAACACAGAAGTGCCACATTTAAAAAAATTACATATAAACACACAAATGGAACCTTTTAACCAGTACTTAGCTGGAACATCGTATAGAATATATATTATAAATTACCTTACTTTGTCTCTTTATGCTTAGGCAGGTCATACGGATCCTGCCATATGATGTCAGCTGTAACCATTAGGCATAAAAATCTTGAGGTCATTCTTATAAACAGATTAAAATGTGTTGTTGCAAAAGTTGAATGGCTCTAGATTATTTTCTGAATTTGGATATGAATCATATAGTCCTTCCCCAAAAAGTTTACATTAATGTTTGTTTCTCCATTCATACATTTATGTATTTATGTATTTATTTATTTTTTGAGACGGGGTTTCGCTCTTGTCTCCCAGGCTGGAATGCGGTGGCGCGATCTCTGCTCACTGCAACCTCCACCTCTTGGGTTCTCCTGCCTCAGCCTCCTGAGTAGCTGGGATTATAGGCGCCTGCCACCACTCCTGGCTAATTTTTGTATTTTTAGTAGAGATAGGGTTTCACCATATTTCACCAGGCTGGTCTCAAACTCCTGACCTCAGGTGATCCACCTGCCTTGGCCTCCCAAAGTGCTGGGATTACACACATGAGCCACTGCACCTAGTCCCAGTCATACATTTATTTATGCAATAACTTTACTTTTCAAGGAAGCAATAAGCAAATATTTACTGAGTACTATGTTTCAGACACAATATTGAAGATACCAGTATTAAAAATAATTTAGCTCATTATTCCATGGAGTTTACATTCTAGTGTGGGGAAATGGAGAATAAGTTCAATCAGTGCAGTAGATTGTGTTGTGATAAAGATATATGGCATATGGTAAGATATTTCAGCAGTATAATTTAAGTTCAGGTGTGCAAATATGTAATTTTCTTAATTTTTAGAACTGACTTTACTTTTTTACTCTAAGCCTGTAGCTTAGAGAACTGGGGAAGGTACTTAGATGGTATATGGAATATAGTGGGGTATTTTTAGTTGTCAGAATGACTGAGGTTGCTACTGGCATTTAGCAACCTGTGCATACCAAGACTGCTAAACATCTTGCTATGCCCAGGACAGTACTGTCCTATGAAGAACTGGCCCACCTAAAATGCCAAGAGTGCCCCTGTTGAGAAGCACTGACTAACCTGGCTCATGGTAGACAATTTCATCTTGATCTTTTTAGGCAAAATTGACTATTATCCAGTAATTTCAAATTCAGGATTATTTAAACTATCCCAAACCTGGCTCAAATCTCTTAGATTCTGCCCATCTCCTCTGTGATACTAATTCTTATGACCTATGAATCTCACTACGTCATAGTCTGGCGTTGAAGAGTCATCTACTTTTCTAGCTAACTCCTGTGCTTTCCTCTAATCTCATTGGAAACGTAAAGGATCTCTCTATACTGTTCTTCGGCCTGTGGGATATTGAGAAAGATGGGTATTCTTGGGTTCTTCTGTGTTTACTCCATTTGCTGCTCCCTTGCTTGCTTTTTTTTTTTTAAGATACTTTGTTTTTTATTCAAAAATCATTATTTGAGATTATTGTCCCAAAGCCTAACTCACTACTTCTGAATGTTCCCAACTATATTAGTTTGCTACAGTTAGCAAAATACCACAAATTGGGCAGCTTAAGCAGAAATTTATTATCTCACAGTTATTAGAAGTCTGAAATTAAGGTGATAGCAGGGTTGGTTCCTCCTGGGGGCTGTACGGAAAAGATCTCTTCCATGTCTCTCTCCTTGGTTTGTAGATCGACATCTTCATGTTCATATGGTGGTGTTCTTGTATGTATACCTGTGTCCATATTTGCCTCTTTTATAAGGGTATCAGTCATGTTGGATTAGGAGACTACCCTAATCACTTCATTTTGATTACCTCTGTAGAGACCCTATCTTCAAATAAGGTCACATTCTAAGGTGTTAGGAGTTAAGACTTCAGCTTAAGTATTTGTGGGGGATACAGTTCAACCCATAAAAGCAACTAATTTTTTTAAATTTTTTTCTAATTTAAAAAGTACAGAAAAAACTAATCAAAATAAAATAAAAATATCCCAATACAACATTTAAAAAATTATATAAAGTAAAAGGAGAGAAAAGATAGCCAGCTGTGGTGGCTCATGCCTGTAATCCCAGCACTTTGGGAGGCCCAGGCGGGCAGATCACTTGAGGTCAGAAGTTCGAGACCAGCCTGGCCAACATGGCGAAACCCTGTCTCTACTAAAAAAAAAAAAAAAAAAAAAAATCGCTGGGCATGGTGGTGCACACCTGTAATCCCAGCTGTTCAGGAGGCTGAAGCACCAGAATCGCTTGAACCTGGGAGGAAGAGGTTGCAGTGAGCTGAAATGGTGCCACTGCACTCCAGCCTGGGCGACACAGCAAGACTGTGTCTAAAAATAAAAAAGAAAAAGGCCCTACTTCCATTCCAATCTCATCCTCCAACTTGACTATATTTTTCTTTTCCATGTCAATCGGTACATACAGAACTATTTCATTCTTTTTATGGGAACGGGATTCCATTTTATGGGTATACTGCAGTTTAATTAGCTGTTACACTACTGATGAACACTTGGGTTGTTTACAACTTTTATTATAAACAATATGGAGATAATTCTTGTGTAGATCTCTTTGCACATGTGGATGTTTTCAGTAGTGTAAAATTTTAAAACTGTGTGCTGAGTCATACTGAATAAACACTTCCAATTTTAAAAGATATTGTCAAATTAACCTACCAGCGTATATTACTACCAGCAGAATCTAAGAGCTATACCCTCACCACCGTTAGATATTATCAGTGTTTAAAAAAAAAATCTTTGCTAGTCTCATAGTAAAAACATACTATAAAACTCATTGTTTTATTTTGTCATGTGTGGTATTTACTATATCTGTTGGCCATTTTATTTATTTTTTCTGTGTATTTACCAATGTGAGTTCTTTGCCTTATTTCCTTGGAGGTATTTGTTGGTTATTGAAGCTCATGTTTTTATCATAAATTAATTTTTTTGTAATAATTGTAGTAGCTCATTAAGGTTTCCCAAATCCATTCTTATTCTCTTCCTTTTTTTTCTCCCTACACTGTGCCCATACAGATCTGATCATGTCTTTCTCTTTGATTAAAATGCTTAAGTGGGGGCTGGGCACGGTAGTTCACATCTGTAATCCCAGCACTTTGGGAGGCTGAGCCGGGCAGATCACCTGAGGTCAGGAGTTCAAGACCAGCCTGACCAACCTGGTGAAACCCCATCTCTACTAAAAATACAAAAATTAGCTGGGCATGGTGGCACACACCTGTAATCCCAGCTACTTGGGAGGCTGAGGCAGGAGAATGGCTTGAACCCTAGAGGCGGAGGTTGCAATGAGCTGAGATCACACCATTGCACTCCAGCCTGGGCGACAGAGCAAGACTCTAGCTCAAAGAAAAAAAAATGCTTAAGGGCTTTCCCATTGCTCTATTAAAAAGGTCAAAACAGATCCTACAGAGCCTTTGCTTGGTCTGGCCTCAGCATATTCCATGCATCCCTTAACTCTTGGGGCCTCAAGCCATATTAACTTTTTTTAGTTATTTGGTGGGTCCATGCTTCTTCCCCTAATAGGAACTGTGTACATACTATTTCCTCTACTATTACTGTCTCTTCTTGGCACCTCTTTGTTCACAGAAAACTCTTACCCATCCTTCAGATTTGATGTCTTGTCATTTCCTAAATCTTCCCTGACCTTGCCAATCTAGGCTAGAGCCTAGATTACATGATCTTATTTCACCATTTACCACTTTTGAAACACGTGATTTATATTCACTTGTATGGTTTTTCTTTTTCTTTCTTTCTTTTTTTTTTTTTTTTTTGAGACAGGGTTTTGCTGTGTTACCCAGACAGGAGTGCAGTGGCCATTCACAGGTGCAGTCATAGTGTAGTGTGTCTTCAAACTCCTGGCTTCAAGCCATCTTCCTGCCTCAGCCTCCCATGTAGCTGGGACAATAGGTGTACTCCTCTATGCCCAGCCTTGTGTTATTATTTGATTTTAGGTTATAACCTGAAACCCTTGCACTAAATTGCATTGCATGAAGGCAAGGACCATGTCCGTTTTGTTTTCTGCCACATCCCCATTGGGTAGCTTGGTGCCCAGTACATAGTAAGAGTTCATATATTTGTGGAATAAATGAGTGAATGATGGATTCTTGGTTTTGTCTCTTTATTAGAAAGGTTATTGAAGGATTTTAAGAAATTTAACATTATTAGATTTATTTTTTAGAAAGTTCAGTCTTTGTTTGGAAGATTAATTGGAAAGGCAGATGTGAAGATTAGGAGAACAGTTAGGTTATCATCATGATCGTTTAGTCCTCAGATAATAACAGCCTGAACAGAGGCAGCAATGTTAGAGATAGGAGAAGATGTGATTTTGGAAGAACAATTTCAGAGGAAAACTAACAGGACTTAATGACTGACTGGATGTGGTCATGGCGAGGGAGAAGGAAAAGTCAAGACTCAAAATTTAAATGAAATATGTAATTTAGTATGAAGTAGTATTACAGAGTAGTTAACTATAGAGCCATTGCAGTCATACAGATTAATCATGTAATTTACTAGCTGTATGACCCTGGTAATTTTACTTAATGTCTTAGTCCATTCGGGCTGCTATAACAAAATACCATAGACTAGATGGCTTATAAATAACAGAGATTTGTTACAGTCTGGAGCCTGGTAAGTCCAAGATCAAGGCAACGGTAGATTTGGTATCTGGCGAGGGCCTGCTTACTTATAGACAGCTGTGTTCTCACTCTAACTTCACAGGGCAGAAGGGTGAGGAGTCTCCCTCAGGCTTCTTTTATAGGGCACTAATCCCATATGCCCCACTACCTAATACCATCTCTTTTGGGGTTAAGATTTCAACATAGGAGTTTTGGAACATTCATCTGTTTACCTAACTGCTAATTGTAAATGAGTGTCTTCATGGAATTTTTGAGGTTAAATGTAACACATGTAAAGTGCCTAGTAGTCATATAGTTTGCTGTGAACTTGAGGAAGTCATTTAACCATCTAAACTCAGTTTCTTCTGATAGAAAATAAGGATAATATGTATACCCTTTGTTCTCCCTGTATCACAGGGATATCTCCCTATATCACATTTAAGAATGTCAAGCCCTATAAAAATTGTAAACTGATAACAGTCATAGTAACTAGATATTAATTATACATAGAAGGATGGGAGATATCGAGCTTAACTTAGACTTTAATATGACCCCTCATCTCTTGGTTCAACTTTGTAAAGTATAGGATGCTTCTTGGCTGTAAAAACTGAAGAAGTAGAATTTATCCTACTGGGAACAGGCTTTTGCCACTGTAAGGCTCTATGTGGTAAATGACTGATGAGTTCTCAAGAAAATAAATCTGGCCGGGTGTGGTGGCTCACGCCTGTAATCCCAGCACTTTGGGAGGCCGAGGTGGGTGGATCACTTGAGTTCAGGAGTTTGAGACTAGCCTGGCCAACATGGTGAAACCCCGTCTCTTCTAATAATACAAAAAAAAATTAGCCAGGCGTGGTGGCTTACACCTGAAGTCCCAGCTACTCAGGAGGCTCAGGCAGAAGAATCACTTGAACCCAGGAGGTGGAGGTTGCAGCAGTGAACCAAGATCGCACCACTGCACTCCAGCCTGGGCCACAGAGTCAAATTGTGTCTCAAAAAAAAAAAAAAAAAAAGAAAAGAAATCTTAACAGGAACAAAGGAGATTGTTGTTGCCTGGTGTAGAGGGGAGAAGGAAGTGAGATTACCAGGAACCAAGCCCAGAAGGTGGAAATTGGCATGGCAGATTTTGATTGCCTGCTGTGATTTCCTGTAGCTAAAGCAGTGCGTTTGTTTATGATTGAGTTGTATATATTGACCCTTGGCCTTCATAGCAAAAACAGTGAAAACAGCTGGTATAGTTATTATTCCACATATAAGGATAGTAACAAACAGAAGTTAAAACACAGAAATTCCAATCTTTGTTTATTTCATCCTGCTATAATTCCTTTCCAAACGGAAATAGCACATGTAACTATCTTTCAACACCCATGTTAGGTGATTGTGTGCATAGAAATCTTGCCTAGGGGTAATTCAGGTGGTTTTTTCCCCACTGCTGTATATTTGCCACGTGATCTTAGTTAAGATTTTTATTTTCAGCCAATGTTTCCCATTTCTTTATTGTTGACAGACTTGTAATCTCACTCTTGCTTTTGAATTACCCAACTTCCTGAACTACATTTTCTTTGAAACTTTAGTATTGTAGTTTAATAAGGTTCACTGACAATCAGTGTTTGTCAATATTGGTTCACTCTCTTTGCATGGCAATCCCAAGTAAATTTTGTGTGTTCTTCCCCCCCCCCCCCCCACAGGTTTTCTGTGCTTCCTGCTGTAGCCTGAAATGTAAACTGTTATACATGGACAGAAAGGAAGCTAGAGTGTGTGTAATCTGCCATTCAGTGCTAATGAATGGTAAGTATTAAAACAGGTTGATTTCATAGTTATTGAGACAAAACAAGGGAATTACGATGAGAAGACTTTTTTCCCCCTGCCTTTCTTTACAAGTTGCTCACCTTCTCAAATGTCATAACTTTAACTGAAAATATTTAGCTAAATTTCCATGTTTTGAAAGTATCTTAGCATTTCAGAATTCCTGTGCCTAATTTAATGAATAAATGCTAAAGCCAGGTAAGTTTTGCAGGAATAATGGAAGTTCTTTGGAAATCTGGTGCGAGGTAGTTATTTGTGTTCCTATAAAATAACCAGAGTGAGGTGGGAATGGGGAGCTTTTGATCACCAGATGATAAGATGTTAAAACTGGGCTGAGATTTTCCTTTTAAGAGAAGCCATCTCTTTCTAAGGAACAACTTAATAACTTAGCATGTGTTCTTATCAACACCTTGTTTCATTCATCTTGTTGAAGATAACTATTTTAGCATCTAGGACCAAGTAGAAAATTGCATTTTTAAAGCCCATTTATCTCTTTAATGCTACTTAGATTTGCTATGAGAATAATGGTTTAGAATCTAGTTGTTACGTGGTAAAAAGAATATGGCCGGGGAAAGTAAATAAAACTTACCCAGTGTTCATCTTTTGCTGGACTGGAAATGATTTTAAGGGCATATTAGTTAAAAACCCTGAGTATTCTTGTAAAAAGATACACTAAAATTGTTCAGGTTATAGTATTTTCTCTTTGAATGCATCTTTGTACAGTTACTGGAACAATTACTAATAGACATAAAATGTTGAACTTGAACACCAGTGCTACCTGTGCCAGGATAGTGTGCCTCCTGGAGGCTGGAACTTATCTGCTCTGAGACCCCTCCTGCTCTGTCCGTCTGCATTGCTGATAGTGATGTTTTCTTGTTGCTGGCTTATTAACCTGTTGCATGACAGTTAATCTGATCTGTTCTAATTTCCTATGATCCACCCAGTTTCCTCCCATTTCTGAATTCTTACAATTTTGACCAAATATGAATCATTCTCTCCACTCTTAAGGGTTACTTTTTAAATAGTGGTTATTTCACTTGGTTGCTCAATTGATGATTTTTATTCTGCTGCTTTCATTTTCGGGCACATATTCACAGATAAGAGCATGCTGCTTAATTATAGTACCTAATACCTCTTTTATTTGATGAGATCTTCCAACTTGATAGCTAATTTTTTTAACTTGGCATAGCTAAAGATGAAGGAAATGGCAGAGGATTCACATGGAATACTTACTTTTTATTAAGCCAAGGAGGCCCTTAACAGGGGATCCTAAGGTAATCCACTTTTCCTGGTTTTTCCAGTGTCTTTCCTCTCGCATGGCTTAGCCCGGTCTTTTTCTTAATATTTAATTTGATGCTTTTCGGTGTTCCCTATCCCTTTTTCCCTTTCTCCTTTTCTCTTCCTCCCCTCTTTCTGCCAGTGCTTTCAAAGGAACATAGCTTTTGTTACTAGCCTTGTCTTGCAGTTTGGAGGCAATAAATATTCAAAATCCTATGGATCATTCTTTGATGTTGAAAGAGATTTTTGAAAGGATGCTTAAAAAGAGGGTGGCTTCTATTTCTGGGCATGTGGTATTACCTGAACCTAGAAGATAAAATTTGGTATCTTTCATTTCTGTAGCACCTTTCATCCTATTTGCTTTAAAGGCGATAGGTGATGTGTCAGTATTTAGTGAAATTATAGGGTACACAGAATCTTAATGTATTTGTGATCATTTATATTGGTTGATCACACTTACATGATATTGGCACATTTTCATGTTCAAATAGGTCCTGTGCTTTTGAGACACACCAAAGATGTGAAATGGTTGTTACTGATGGATAGTTTTATACAGGGTGATGATTACATAAAAGCAGAATTCAGAAAAAGATTGAGATGTGTCCTCCTGAGCTTTAGGCTTTAGAAATTTTTAATGAGATTTTATTTTAACTAACAAGAGCCTTAAAAGTTTAGAAATGAAACTTAAAATTTTACAGTAGAGTTATTCTATTTTAGCCCCTGATTTTGCTTTTTGATAGAACTTTATAAAATGCATTAAATATTAAATGAAAAAATGTCTAAATGCTATCCAAGTTTCAAATTCTTAAAGTTTGATGTTGTTTGACTCCCTCTTAAGGAAATGTTTGGTCTCCTATAAAGAAACCAGGCTCCAACCTTTAACTCAGATTGATCTGCTATCAGTCTATCAGAAGTATCCTATAATTCTTTTTTATTTTTAATTTTTTTGAGATGGAGTCTTGCTCTGTTGCCCAGGCTGGAGTGCAGTGGTGTGACTTGGCTCACTGCAAGCTCCACCTCCCGGGTTCATGCCATTCTCCTGCCTCAGCCTCCCAAGTAGCTGGGACTACAGGTGCCTGCCACCACACCTGGCTAATTTTTTGTATTTTTAGTAGAGACGGGGTTTCACCACGTTAGCCAGGATGGTCTTGATTTCCTGACCTCGTGATCCACCCGCCTCGGCCTCCCAAAGTGCCGGGATTAGAAGCATGAGCCACCACTCCCGGTCTAATTCTTTAAAAAAAAAAAAAAAAAAAAAAAAAAAAATCATGTTACTCTTATTTGCTCCAACCAAATAGTTTACTTGGCTAAATGGTCTCCTTTATTACATAAAATCACCTATCTCTTTAATACCTTCACTAGGTGGAAGAGAGACATACTATGAGTATTAATTAGGAGAAGCTGCATTATTTATCCAATATTGTGGAGGTCTTGATGTCCATATTTTGCAATCCATTCACATTGATTGTGTCTGTATTTGCTTTAGCTCAAGCCTGGGAGAACATGATGAGTGCCTCAAGCCAGAGCCCTAACCCTAACAATCCTGCTGAATACTGTTCTACTATCCCTCCCTTGCAGCAAGCTCAGGCCTCAGGAGCTCTGAGCTCTCCACCTCCCACTGTGATGGTACCTGTGGGAGTTTTAAAGCACCCTGGAGCAGAAGGTAGGGGATCATGTGCTATTCTCTCTCTTTTTCCTCACGAAGTTCCTCTGAAAAGGTGCTGATATGACTTTACAGCACAAGTCTTAAAAAACACTGCAGATAAGTCTCTTTGGGTGGTTATTAAAATGGAACAACAAGGTGAGAAATGTGTCAAGACTATTTCTGGGCAAGTAGAGAATAATATTTGTGTTGCTTGGTATTTTAGAGGCACCTCAGAATATATGTCAGTCTCCTCTCCAACTTAAGAATGGAGTAATTACACTGCTTGTCCTTAAAAAGAGGTGCAGAATTTGAAGTCAATCTGTAAATTCCTAGCCTACCTCATGCCTGTCTTAATGTTCTTTGTAGGAGTTTAGTAAGTGATAAAAATGAGAGTTCTTCTTTCCGACCAGCCCATTCAAGTATTGCTTTTTGGAGTATACATTGCCATTTTCTCTTTTCATTTTTAATCTGTCCATATAAAAATATGAACATTTTTGTGTTAGGGACATAGACTTTAAATCTAGAACTTTAATTCTGATTATATCATATGATAGGTAGAAAATTACAGGCTCAACTTACATTGGTTTATTATATCTTTATGATGATAATATTGTCAGATGAAAGGCACTGTGTAAGTGCAGGGGATTATGAATAGTAAAAATAACATTTATTTCCTTAAAATGATCTTATCAAGTTTCCCTTGGTAATTAAAATCAGTCTTCCTTCATTAATTTTATCTTTTCATCTATTAATATTCCCTTCCCCTTGCTAAATAACCCACCTTTCCTTTTGAAGATCATAGACTTCTATTGACATTATCATACTCTTCCCCATTTTTTCTCTTTTCAGATCATCCCTTAGTCATACTCCTTGTATTTTTATGAATTTAGGCTTTCTTAAAATCTTTATTCTCTTCATTTGTTGTTTTTGTTGTTCTTCCCTAGTCTCTGTGTGTTTTGGCTGTTTGAATTGATTTCTAAAACTGGACTTAAAGGGATCATTTCATCAGACTCAGTTTTCCAGCTTTTTCCCTGTCTTTTTACTAAAACACAAATTACTTTTGCACTGCCAGATCAGTCTTTTTCTTCTTCAGTTACACTTCAGGCAAAGATCTGGTCAGTTTGCTTCCCAATTCTTACATATCTGTGCCAGCTCTTCTGTTATAAATGAATTATTCTTTAACATTCTTCAGGGCATCTTTTGCCCTTTGAAAGTACCATATCACTTTACCAGATGTTTAATTTCTTTGGAAACCTCATAACTTTAGAAAATGTGAATGTCTATTGCTTTTTTCACCATGCTATTAATTTATTTCCGAGGCCCTTGAACACTTTCCTTAGTTTCTCTGTCAGTGATACGGGACAGAGTATGTGACATAATCATAGATGTATTTAAGAACTCTTAATATTTCAAAGCAAAGTATTTTACTCTTTGCATATAAGTTAAACAAGTAAAGAATATATTTAAATTTGTATTTTTAATTCATTTATAACCACTTTTATATACAGTTACATTTCTGATGTTTCTGATTGTAAGTTGCCAAGTAATGATTTCTTTGTACATCTGGAATTGGTGACCTTCTCTTCTTTGATGTTAGAAAACCTTCCAATGCCACATTGATGCCTGTTTTATTTTTCTGGCCCCTCAAGTGGCTCAGCCCAGAGAGCAGAGGCGAGTTTGGTTTGCTGATGGGATCTTGCCCAATGGAGAAGTTGCTGATGCAGCCAAATTAACAATGAATGGAACTTCCTCTGCAGGAACCCTGGCTGTGTCACACGACCCAGTCAAGCCAGTAACTACCAGTCCTCTACCAGCAGAGGTAAGAAAACAAAACAGCAACTAAAATTGCATAGCTACTTTACTCAGCATTGTGCTGCCTCTGTTGAATTACTTTTGTGTGGAACTCTGTAGGTTTTGGATACAACTTAGTGTATACGTGCACATATATGGATAAAGTAAATGTGGCAAAAATCAGCTGCTGTTCTTTGCTGTATATTTAGAAGTTTTTTCAGGAGAAAGGTTCTTAATGAAGATTGTTCTCAGATGAGCTCAGGTGCTCCACTTTAGCTAGCAGTCGGGCTGTGGGGAATTCTGTCCCCTTGCTACATTGGTTTTTAAAGCATGTTCCCCAGGTTCCATGGCAGCCTCTCAGGAGTGCTATGGTGAGGAAGAGCAGGTAACATGAAAGGGCCTGAGGAGCTGAGTTTAAAACCCTGGCTTATCAACATCCCCTACCAGAGTGGTACACTTGTTACACTTGTTGAACCTACACTGACACATCGTAGCCAACCCAAGTCCACATTTTACATTAGGATTGGATACTTTTTTTTCTTTTTTTGAGATAGAGTCTCTGTTGCCCGGGCTGCAGTACAGTGGCGTGATCTTGGCTCACTGCAACCTCTACCTCCCAGGTTCAAGCAATTCTCCTGCCTCAGCCTCCAAAGTAGGTGGGATTACAGGCGCCTGCCATCATGCCAGGCTAATTTTTGTATTTTTAGTAGAGACAGGGTTTCACCATGTTGCCCAGGCTGCGTCTCGAACTCCTGACCTCAAGTGATCCACCCCCTCAGCCTCCCAAAGTGCTAGGATTACAGGTGTGAGCCACCACACCCTATCAGGATTGGATAAAAATTTTACTCCTGATGTTTTCATAGAATTGTTAGTTACTAATTATTTATATTAATGATAAGTAATATTTTTTTAGACATTTACATCCTATATAATTTGTGAGTTTGATTGTAATTGAAATTGCATGTTGTTAAGATTAGATTTTTTGACATGCAGAGCTGACTTACCTGTTTGGTGAGTTATTGAACCATGTAATATCTGTCTTCAAATATTTCTAGTTTTTGAATTTTTCTGTGGCTGCAGAGGGTGACAGCCAGAACTGTGTCTTATCCTTCTTTGTATCTCCACAGTGACTTTGTCAAGAAAGTTTTTTCTTTATTCCCCCCAACTGTTTTTTTGTTTGTTTGTTTTGGTTTTTTTTTTTGAGACAAGGTCTCACTCTATCGCCCAGGCTCCAGTATAGTGCCGCAGACATGGCTCTCTGCAGCCTTAACGTCCCAGGCTCAAGCAATCCTTCTGCCACAGCCTCCCAAATAGCTGGGACTGTAGGCAAGCCTGGCCACAACTGTTTATTTGGAAAAAAATTCAACCTACAGAAAAGTTACAAGAATAGTACAGTGAATACCCATATACTCTTCACCTATCTTCATCAACTTAACCATTTTGCCACATTTGCTCTACCACTTCACAGTACACACGCTTTTTTTTTATGACCCATTTAAGGATTGGTTGCACTTCACCACTTAATAGTTCAGCTTGTGTACCCTAAGAAAAGTCATTTTCTTATACAACCACAATGCAATTATCACATGAGATGGAAACTTAACATGTAATTCTGGTTTCCCCAATTGTCACAATAATGTTCTTTATAGCTTTAATTTTTTTGTTTTGTTTTGTTTTGAGATGGAGTCTTGCTCTGTCGCCCAGGCTGGAGTGCAGTGGTGCGATCCTGGCTCACTGCAAGCTCCGCCTCCCGGGTTCACGCCATTCTCCTGCCTCAGTCTCCCGAGTAGCTGGGACAACAGGCGCCCGCCACCATGCCCAGCTAATTTTTATGTATTTTTAGTAGAGATGGGGTTTCACGATGTTAGCCAGGATGGTCTCGATCTCCTGACCTCCTGATCTGCCCTCCTTGGCCTCCCAAAGTGCTGGGATTACAGGCGTAAGCCACCGCGCCTGGCCTATAGCTTTCATTTTTACATATATGTGTGTGCACAGATATATTAATTTTTAAAATAAAATTTATTTTTAAAAATCAAGATCTCATTAAGGACCACAGTTGCATTTAGTTGTCATATTTCTTTGGTTTGCTTTAATCTTGAATAGTTCTCTCTCTTTTTTAAAGTTTTTATATCATTAATATTTAAGTATTTGGGCCATGTTTTACATGATACTCTCAATTTGTATTTGTCTGTTTTTTTTTTTTCTCATGACTAGTTTCAGATTAAACATTTTTTGGCAGTAATGACAATCCTACATAAGTGAGGGTGATTTCTTAAAGGATCACATCAAGAAGTATTAGTTTGGGTTGGGTGCAGTGGCTCACATCTGTAATCCCAGCACTTTGGAAGGCCAAGGCAGGAGGATTGCCTGAACCCCGAGTTTGAGACCAGCTTGGGCAACATAGTCAGACTCTGTCTCTATATAAAATTAAAAAATTAGCTGGGCATGATGGCACATGCCTGCAGTCCCAGCTACTCAGGAGGCTGAGGCAGGAGGGTGATGATTTTCTCTTTCTGTTAAATTTCTTTCCTATCTCTTAGTTTGTATGATGGGTTCTTAAACTATAAATATTTTTGAAAGAATGAGGAAAGTCTAGTGAGTGAATGTTATAGGGAAACAATTTTCTGCTCATTATAAGACAGGCTAAGCCACATTATTTTGTGCTCTCACATTGTGCAACACTCTAATATTTATGTGGTAAAATGAGAGAAAGCAAACTCTTTAATGCCAGACTAGAAAATATTAATATTTTTCTTATTTTTATGGTCTAGTAGAGTGCCTGGCACTTAACAAGTGCCCAGTAAATGAAGTAAATGTCTTTTTATTATTATTATTATACTTTAAGTTCTGGGATACATGTGCAGAACCTGCAGGTTTGTTACATAGGTATACATGTGCAATGGTGGTTTGCTGCACCCATCAACCCGTCATCTAGATTTTAAGCCCCACAGTAAATGCCTTTTCACAGAAGGCATTTAAGTAGAGACCAACTGACCACTTTTTATGATATTAAAAGGAGGATTTTTGCACCATTCAATAGTAGGTTAGAATAGATTATTTTCTGTACCAGGCCTTCAAGTCAGTTAATGGTAGTTTGCCAGTAAAATTTTATAAAGTTCCTATATGATGCCATACCGGAAAATTTTAGAAATCCCACTAAAAATGTATAGTCCTAAAAACTTTGTCCTAAGTAGAGACAGAAGTATGGCAAAACATGGGCATATTTATTTTATTTTATTTTATTCTTTGTTTGAGTCAGAGTTTTGCTCTTGTTGTCCAGGCTGGAGTGCAGTGGCATGATCTCAGCTCACTGCAACCTCCGCCTCCTGGGCTTGAGTGATTCTCCTGCCTCAGCCTCCTGGGTAGCTGGGATTACAGGCGCCCACCACCACACCTGGCAAATTTTGTATTTTTAGTAAGAGACGGTTTCACCATGTTGGCAAGGCTGGTCTTGAACTCTTGGCCTCAGGTGATCTCCCCTCCTTGGCCTCTCAAAGTGCTGGGATTACAGGCATGAGCCACCATGTCCAGCCATATTTTGAAGAAATAGTTTTAATGTTTGTTCAGGTATACAATATATGTAGCAAAATGCATGACTAAGGAGCATGAATCTTTAGGAAACACCTTGAATTTATACATGGTTTTATATATATGTGCATGTGTGTATACACACACAAACACACACACATAAAATATGTAAGCACCATTCAGGTGAAGATACAGAACATCTCCAGCACTCCATAAGGGTTCCTTATGCACTTTTTCTGTCAGTACCTTCTCCTTTCATCAAGGTAACCATTGTTCTCACTTCTGTCCCTACAGATTAGTTTTGCTTATTCTTGAATTCATATAAATCCAAACAATAGTATATAATGTTTTGTGTTTAGCTTTTTAAGCTCAACTTAATATTATGAGATTTATCCATATGCATCAAAAATTAATTTATTTCTGAGTAGTATTCCATTGTATGGATATGCCATCATTTATGTTATGTTCTCCTGTTAGTGGCCATTCAAATTGTTTCCAGTTTTTGGCTATTATGAATGAAATGAAGCTGCTAGAAATAATCTTTTTTTTTTTTTTTTTTTTGAGTCTCGCTCTGTTGCCCAGACTGGAATGCAGTGGCAGGATCTCGGCTCACTGCAACCTCCACCTTCCAGGTTCAAGCAATTCTCCTGCCTCGGCCTCCCAAGTGGCTGGGATTACAGGCACACGCCCAGCTAATTTTTATATTTTTTGTAGAGATGGGATTTCACCATATTGGCCAGGCTGATGTTGAACTCCTGTCCTTAAACAATCTGCCTTCCTTGGCCTTCCAAAGTGCTGGGATTACGGGCGTGAGCCACTGTACCCGGCCGTATGAATATTGTTATACATGTTAAAAACAGCTTTTACTGTTTTTCTTTTAACTTTTTGTTTTGAGACGGAGTTTTGTTCTTGTTGCCCAGGCGGAGTGCAATGGTGCGATCTTAGCTCACTGAAACCTCCGCCTCCTGGGTTCAAGTGATTCTCCTGCCTCAGCCTCCCTAGTAGCTGAGATTACAGGCATGCGCCACCACGCCCAACTAATTTTTGTATTATTAGTAGAGATGGGATTTCACCATGTTGGCCAGGCTGGTCTCAAACTCCTGACCTCAGGTGATCCACCCACCTCAGACTCCCAAAGTGCTGGGATTACAGGCGTGAGCCACCGCACCTGGCCTCTTTTAACTCTTTAAAAGCTTCTATTTCATGTTTAAGTTATAGAGAATATACATCTGTATAGTATGGGAAATAAAAGTTATAGAGAATGTAGAGAGGAGAGCATCATTTTAATAAACATTTGAGCATGTTCTATTTAATAATTAAGTGGATTTAACGCCAACCAACATGTTTTGCAACCTTATACTTCATTAAATATAGCTAATGTGATCTGCCTAGTAATGCAAAGAAAAACAAACTTCAGGCCGGGTGCAGTGGCTCACACCTGTAATCCTAGCACTTTGGGAGGCCGAGGTTGGCGGATCACAAGGTCAGGAGATTGAGACCATCCTGGCTAACAGGTGAAACCCCATCTCTACTAAAAATACAAAAATTAGCCAGGCGTGGTGGCACGCACCTGTAATCCCAGCTACTCGGGAGGCTGAGGCAGGAGAATTGCTTGAACCTGGGAAGCAGAGGTTGTAGATGATGCCATTGCACTCCAGCCTGGGCGATAGAGTGAGACTCCTTCTCAAAAAAAAAAAAAAAAAAAATGAACTTCAAGATTTATTTTATTACATAGTAAATGAAAAATGATGACATTTTATCAAAGTTGATTTTTTTCCCTTTTTTATTGTGGAAAAATATTAACATATATAACAAATGATTTACAATTTTAACAATTTTTAAGTGAATTCATTGGCATCAAGTACATTCACATTGTTTTGCAACTATCACCACTGTTTTCAAAGTTAATTTTTAAAAGCAATATAAATTAGACCTTAAGTAGTTCCCAAGGTATTAAAGATTAAGAAATTATGAAATAATATTGAAGTTTTGTTTCTTTTGCCACTACAGTTTTTTAAAAATATTTTTCTCTTATGGCAAAAGAAACCTGGGTAAAGGAAGCTTTAATGCAGGTTTTAAGGCCTCTTCTGTCATTACCATGATTTGATGATACCAAAAGGAGAAACTTACACATTTGAAAACATTTTCATAGTATAAGCCTGATTTGTTTTTTTGTTTTTTTTAATCCATGGGTTAATGAATATTTTGTGCTACCTTTCAAAAAGTATGAATTTCAGATTTTCACTTAAGTTCCCATTTGTATTTTTAATTATGTCCTGCCAAAGTCTTGAATTCTCTGTAGTGCTCACTTTGTTGATTTGCTTTTCCTAGACGGATATTTGTCTATTCTCTGGGAGTATAACTCAGGTTGGAAGTCCTGTTGGAAGTGCAATGAATCTTATTCCTGAAGATGGCCTTCCTCCCATTCTCATCTCCACTGGTGTAAAAGGAGGTAAGTGGACTACATATTTAAACAGTGATAGTTCTATCTGCCAAATGTTACCTTCTAATTAAGGTAGAGAGACAGAATTTGAGTGACATTCACCTTTCTCTTATCCAACAAAACAAACTCCCCCAAAACTATGAAAATGGTTGTTGCTGTTATTATTTTAGAGTAGATGCTTATGTTTTTATATTATAATGTCATTTTCAGTTTTTGAATGGATATAATATTACTTATAATGTAAATGTAGTTTATTAGCAGTTTTTAAAAATATTTCAAAGCACATAATATTCTGAAGGATTGCTTGTGGTTTAGGATGAACCCACTCTGATACAGTCATTTATTTAGCTTTTCATTTTGAGGTATAATATACATTCAGAAAGAACGTATAGTAAGTGTGAAGAGCACTGAATTTAAATGGCAGTTTTACTGTTAAAAATATTTTTAGGGATCTTGATAAGAAGTAAAATTATTATCTAATCAAAAGAATGCTTAATATTATGTGAAATTTTATTTTTATAATTTTAACTTTTATTTTAGATTCAAAGGGTATATGTGCCAATCTGGTACATGGATATAGTGGATAATGCTGAGGTTTGGGTTATGATTGATCCTGTCACCCAGGTAGTGAGCATAGTACCCAATGGGTAATTTTTTTTTGTTTTTGTTTTTGTTTTTTGTTTTGAGACAGGGTCTCTTTATCCAGTCAGCCACTGATGGGCAGTTAGGTTGATTCTATGTCTTTGTTATTGTGAATAGTGCTGCGGTGAACATTCAAGTACATGTGTCTTTTTGGTAGAACAATTTATTTTCTTTTGGATATACACCCAGTAATGGGATTGCTGGGCTGAATGGTAGTTCTCCTTTAAGTTCTTTGAGAAATCTCCAAACTGCTTTCCACAGTGGCTGAACTAATTTACATTTCTATCAACAGTGTATACATGTCCCCTTTTCTCCACAGCCTCACCAGCATCCATGGTTTTTTGACTTTTTAATAATAGCCATTCTGACTGGTGTGAGTTGATATCTCATTGTGGTTTTGATTTGCATTTCTCTGATGATTAGTGTGAAATTTTATTGCTGACATATATGGATCAGTATACAATTACTACATTTTTAGAAGGTGGCTTATTAATTAACCTCTCCTGAACTTTGTCCTAGGCTTTTAACTGGTCTCCTTGCCTTCAGTCTTTCTTTCCTTCATTTTGTCTTCCACACTGTTGCCAGTTATGTTTTTAAACATAGATATTATCTTATATTGCTTTTACTTAGAAATATTTAATGGATTCCCAATGTCTTTAGTGTAAATTACTTACCTTAGCAAGCAATTTTTTTTTTTTTTTTTTTTTTTGAGATGGAGTCTCACTCTGTCGCCAGGCTGGAGTGCAGTGGTACAGCCTCAGCTCACCACAACCTCCGCCTCCCGGGTTCAAGCAGTTCTCCTGCCTCAGTCTCCTGAGTAGCTGGGACTACAGGTGCATGCCACCATGCCCGGCTAATTGTTGTATTTTTAGTAGAGACAGGGTTTCACTATGTTGACCAGGCTGGTCTTGAACTCTTGACCTGGTGATTTGCCCACCTCGGCCTCCCAAAGTGCTGGGATTACAGGCGTGAGCTACCATGCCCGGTCTGACAATGTTTCTTATAACCTTATCTCAGCCTGTCTTTCTAGCCATTTATTATCAACTTTATTTCCAGCTATTCCCCAGCACCTTACATGTATACTGCAGATTATTTGCTATTTTTTGAATATTTACTTTTCATTCTTCTGTACTTTTTCTTGTGCTGTGGAATAATGGGAAAGAATGGACTTCAGAATTGAACAAACCTGACTTTTAATGCCAGTACCGTTCCATTCTAGCTGTGTGATCCAGTTGGCAAGTCATTCATCCTCTCTGAATTTGTTTCCTAGTCTGTTTTATTTAAAACAATTATATAACTACACCTACTTAAAAGTCATTGTGGTTATTAAGTTAGATATCATACCTGTAAGTACATACCAAGAAAGTATCTGGCATAAAGTAGGCATGTAATTAATATTTTCCATTTCTTCCTTTCTTCTGCCTAGAATACCCCTCTCTACTGTAGACTTCCTGAAGAACTCCTCAACCTTTTAAAATCCAGCTTAATGGTTAATTCTTCTCTGAATCCTTACCTGGGCTGCTTAGAAAATAGTGATTTGCTTCATTATCTCTGTTCTAATAGTGGTTCCTATAGACTGTTGGCTACATTAACACTTTTTCTCATTGCAATTTAGATATTATATTTTCAGATCGTATTCTTTCACTTAGACTATGAAATTCTTCATCTTATTTTATACTTGCATTTACTGCTCCTTGCATGGTGCTAGGCCTGTAGTAGGCTCTCAGCAAATGCTGTCTATATTGTACTCTCAAATGCAGCTATGTCCCAGATAGTTCAGCAGTGAACTTTCACATACAGTTAAGCATTCTTTTGACTGCATAATGCTTTTGCTTCTTTACCAGGACCCTGTAAAAATATCTACTGTTAGTAAAATTGCTGCTTAGGGTTCAGATTTTTATTTTAATAAATCTTAGATTAATAAGGAACTAAATTGGCCTACTCTGTTGTTAAAAAGAGTCAGATTGTTGGATTCTATTGTTAGTAAAATACCTATTGTTAGTAAAATTATCTATTGTAAAAATATCTATTGTTAGTAAAATTGCTGCTTAGGGTTCAGATTTTTATTTTAATAAATCTTAGATTAACAGGGAACTAAATTGGCCTACTCTGTTGTTAAAAAGAGTCAGATTGTTGGATTCCATTTTCATAAAAAGTTATGTCCGTTAAATCTAATTGTCAAAACTTCTCCTACCAAGAAAGAACAGTGAATTATCTATATTACTTAAACTATATTACAGTCTCTTCATCAAAATTTTGTAATTTTTTATTCCAGTGGGATGACTTTACTTAAAAAATTTTAAACTCAGGATTTCTCTTTCCAATAAATATTTTTAATAATGGAGTAGATATTTCCCATTGTATCCAAAAAATCCATTTTAAAATTTCCATTAGAAAATGGGAAATGATGTTACTTTGTTCTACCTGACTGTCCCTCAAATATGCATTTTATATAAGACCAACCAAGCAACATTCAACTTTTAGGTTTTCAGTTCCTTTCCCATATCTCTAGGTTCTACAGTGATTATTACGCATGATTTGACTTCAAGCTGAAAGGACCACTGTCATTCAAAATGAGATGCTGAAGCACATACTGTGCTTCCAGAGATTAAATGAGAAGAGTTACATTCAGTATTAACTTGTTCATGTTCAGAATCTTATGTGTGATTTACTGATGATTTTAGTGACATATGTACTAAACTCTTAAATTATACTTAAAGGAATTGTTTTATGAAGCCAGTCACACACAATACTTTTATTTTCTGGGTTCATTTTTTAAAGTTTAAGTTTTTAATTGTCAAAAATGTCAAACAGTACAAAAGGTCATAGAGTAAAAGGTAGGGCTCTCTTCTACCCCAACTATTTGATATCCTTTCCAGAGGTAACTAGTATATTATCACTTTCTTGTATATCATGAGTTATTTTAAATGCTGGTCTTGAACATTTATTATGTGAAATTCTTGTTATAATAGTTGGAAAATTTTTATTAAATAGAAAGGTAGTCTTTAGATTGTGGCACAAACCACTGTGGGGAGAGGTCTATACACAGGATAACCACATTATCATCTAAGGTGGACTGGGTCACTTTTGAGAGTAAAAGAGGGCACTATTAATTTGATACTGAGCCAGCAGATACAAACCATGCTCTGTATGCACCTATTGATAAATCAAATGCATGTCTCTTTTCTGTGAATAATTAGCTCATTTCTCCATCTGATCTCTTTCTTGATTTGTTCCTTTAACCAATCTATTACATTGTTTTCTCCCCTTTCAGACTATGCTGTGGAAGAGAAACCATCACAGATTTCAGTAATGCAGCAGTTGGAGGATGGTGGCCCTGACCCACTTGTATTTGTTTTAAATGCAAATTTGTTGTCAATGGTTAAAATTGTAAATTGTAAGTTATAAATTTTTAAAAATTAAAATCAGATGTTTTACTGACTCATAGTACATAAAACTTTCAGATTTATTACACACAAGTATTTTTATATAGAGCCACATCTTTTTTTTTTTCTTTTTTTTTTTTTGAGACAGAATCTCGCTGTGTCACCCAGGCTGGAGTGCAGTGGCACCATCTCGGCTCACTGCAAGCTCCACCTCCCGGGTTCACGCCATTCTCCTGCCTCAGCCTCCTGCCTGAGCAGCTGGGACAACAGGTGCCCGCCACCACGCCCGGCTAATTTTTCGTATTTGTTTTTTTTTTAGTAGAGACAGGGTTTCACTGTGTTAGCCAGGATGGTCTTGATCTCCTGACCTGGTGATCCGCCCGCCTCAGCCTCCCTAAGTGCTGGGATTACAGGCATGAGCCACCGCGCCTGGCCTAGCCACATCTTACTGAACACTGAGTTCTGAAAAAGTTGGTTTTTATAAAATGATATATCCCAGAGGACAGCTGTGGAACTAACCGAAACTCTCACATTTAGTTACAGGGGTGAGGTAGGTGAATTCTCCATGGATGAAAGCCAAACAAATCTTGAACTTATCTGAGTTAAGTTCTTCTTGAGATGAGTATGTTAAATCACAACTTACCACCAGAATAACTGGTGGTAGATAAATTATACAGGCTACTCAAATAATTTACATGCTGTGTTTTAATCCCAGAAACCTCAATTATGGTGCAAAACTTTATTTAGGAAAAGTGTTAACTAACACACAGTAAAGCTTCAATACATCATAAATTGAGATTCAGAAGAAACTTCTCAATTGTTGGTGCTAGCATCATGGGCATCAGGATGAGAAAGACGACAGTATTTGAGAATTTTTTGAGACAGAGTCTCACTCTGTCACCCAGGCTGGATTGCAGTGGCATGATCTCTGTTCATTGCAACCTCTGCCTCCTGAGCTCAAGCAGTTCTCCCACGTCAGCCTCCCAAGTAGCTGAGACTACAGGTGCACACCACCATACCTGGCTAATTTTTTTTGTATTTTTTTGTAGAGACAGGAGTCTCACCATGTTGCCCAGGTTGTTCTTGAACTCCTGAACTCGAGTGATCTGCCTGCCTTGGTCTCCCAAAGTGCTGGGATTACAGATGTGAGCCACTGCGCCAGCTAGTAATTTTGAGAATTATTTAGAGAATGCATTTATTCTGAATGAGTGTTAATAGGCAATTTTAAAGGACAGAACCTCTGGGGAACCATCCTGCAGTTCTCCATGTGTACTTAAGTTGATTTTGGAAACCAGAAACATATACTACTTCCTTAGAAGTTCTACATTGATGAAATGTGGGTTTCTGGCTTACTTGCTAATCACACTCTTGTATGTTTGGCCAGTTATTAATGCTTGCTACCTTCTAGGATCAGATTTAAAATGAATTTGCTTGAAATTTCAATTTGCCATATCTAGTTTATAAATTATGCTTAGAAATTAGCTAACCTAAGACCAGGCACCATGGTGCACACCTGTAGTCCCAGTGCTTTGGGAGGCCAAGGCAGATGAATCACTTGAGCCCAGGAGTTCGAGACTAGCCTGGGCAACATGGTGAAACCTCATCCCTACCAAAAAAAAAAAAAAAAAAAATTGGGCATGGTGACATGCTCCTGTAGTCCCAGCTACTCTCGAGGCTGAGGTGGGAGGAGTTCTTGAGCCCAGGAGACGGAGGTTGCAGTGAGCCGAGATCATGACACTGCACTCCAGCCTGAATGACAGAGTGAGACCCTGTTTAAAAAAAAAAAAAAAATTAGCTAACCTAGATTCTTGAAGTATATACCATCATGAGGAATGTCCTATTTAGGTACATAAAGCAAGGATTCCCAAAGTGAAATAAAGATGTCTTTGTTTTTTTGATTAACATTTGTTTTGATTTACATGGTGGTATTCATAATTTTATTTGAGTCCTTTTTCAGTTCCTTTGGGGATCCCATTGTGTTGGGGTATGAAGAGTAAAAGTGTCAAGGATTAAACATTGTTTTTGACTACATATGGTTTCTGCTGTTCATACTCTCCATATAGCCTTAAAGTGAAGGAGTGGAACTAAGTAGTTCAGAAAAGCCATCCTTTTCACTAATTTTTACAGCATGAAGCCAAGTAAAGTCATGTTGCTGATTATCTAGAATTTTTTCCTGGAAAGGACTATAGTTAAAATAGCTGGAATCTCTTGGTCATATATTAAATTTAATAAATATACATAAAAATATATTTCCTTTAGGTCACAACCTGAAGATAAAGCTATATTATTGGCTTTTGTTGTAATTACTTCTAGCCTTACATTGGTAATTACTTCCTTCGATGATGTGATTTTTTAAAATATAAAGGTGGAGGACTATGTTCTTCAATCACGTTTGGCTTACAATACATAGTTTGGTTTTATTTTAGTATTAATAGAATGTTGCTTCTTTTAATAGGAGTTAAAAGTTTTAAGTGCGTTTTATTATTATTTCTTTTACTTCCATT